>NC_000009.12:61281966-61468808 GCF_000001405.40 Homo sapiens
GAATTCACACTATCTATGGGCCTGAGAAATACCAGGATGGAAATTAGCCTCTGGCAGTGAGAGGTTAGGCCAGCTGCACTTCCTGGGTCGAGTGCGGACTTGGGGAACTTTCCTGTCCTACAAGGAATTTGTAAAATGCACCAATCAGCCTCTGTAAAACACACCAATCAGCAGGATTCTAAAAGTAGTCAATAGTGGAGAGGATTGAAAAAAGGGCACTCTGATAAGACAGAAACACAACATGGGTGGGAAGAAATAAGGGGATAAAAGCTGGCCACCCGCAACCAGCAGCAGCAACCAGGTGGGGTCACCTTCCAGGGTGTGGAAGTTTTGTTCTTTCGCTCTCAGCAATAAACCTTCCTAGGCTCACTTTTTGGTTCCGTGCCATCTTTAAGAACTGTAACACTCACCAGGAAGGTCCACAGCTGCATTCTTGAAGTCAGGGAGACCACGAACCCACCGGAAGGAACCAACTCTGGACACAGTCCTGCAAACTAGTTAATCTGAGTACAATCATAAAGAGAAATATATTTTGCACTAATACTGGGAAACAGATTTTGTAACACAGCTTTCATTGTTGTTAAGTGAAGATAGTATATTTTACAATAAGCAACACTGGGACCACTGATCTCCATAAGGGAAAAAAATGAAATTGAAACTTAATCCTGGAGAACAAACATAAAAATATATTTTAACGGATAAAGATAGCTTCTCAACATTTTTAGAAAAAAACCTGGGAAGAATTATTTTTTTCTTTTTTGAGATGGAGTCGCTCTGTTGCCCAGGCTGGAGTGCAGTGGCGCGGTCTTGGCTAACTGCAAGCTCCACCTCCTCTCCCATGTTCATGCCATTCTCCTGCTTGAGCCTCCGGAGTAGCTGGGACTACAGGCGCCCGCCACCCCGCCTGGACTAATTTTTTGTATTTTTACTAGAGACAGGGTTTCACCGTGGTAGCCAGGATGGTCTCGATCTCCTGACCTTGTGATCTGCCCACCTCGGCCTCCCAAAGTGCTGAGATTACAGGCGTGAGCCACCGCGCCCGGCCATATCTTTTATCTTTACCTGGGGAGGAAGAACAAACTGAAAGAGGAAAAATTGATTTGATAACACAAAAATTTAATACTTCTGTTTATTAAAGGATACTGCAATGTGAAAAAAAATACCCAAAACTTGGCAGAGCTATTTGCAACACATCTTACCTAGAAAGGTCTGGTATCCAGAATATGCCTCCTATAAATAAGTGAAAAATAACATGTCTGTTGAGAAGTTAGCACAAATATCCCATAAGCATGTAAAAAGTGCTCAACCTCATAATAATCATGAAAATGAAAATTAACAATTAGATATCCTTTCACACATATTGACAATTTTTTTATGAAGTTCCGAAACGTGTGGTATTGGCAAGGATAAAGAAACATGGAAGTATTCATCCCACACACTAAAGTAGGACAGCCATTTGGAAAACAGACAGATGCTGGCTCATACAGCTGATCATAATGTACCCTATGACCCAGTGACTTCACTACAACCTAGTGCAACCTAGTCAGCCTGTTACAGGCCCCAGAAAAATTCTTGCATTTGTTTACCTAGAGATATATGAGAATGTTCCCAATTTCAAAAACCTGGAAACAATCTAGTTATCTCTCAATATGGGTAGATAGTGGACTGGGTAACTAAATGATCATATATTCCGATAATAGAGTACCTCGCAGCACTAAGAGTGAATGAACTGCAGCTATTCACATTCTCAAATACAGCACTGCAATGAGATACTACTGCATGCGTATTAGAAAGGCAAAAATCCAGAACCCTGACAACACCAAATGCTGATGAGGATGTGAAGCAACAGGAGCTCTCATTCAGTGCTGATAGAAATACAAAATGGAGAACAGTTTTGTGGCTTCTTAGAAAACTAAATCTACTCTTATTATACGACCCAGCAATCTTGTTTCTTGGTATATATCCAAAGGAGTTGAAAACTTATGTCCACACAGAAACCTGCACACAGATGTTTATGGAAGCTTTATTTATAATTGCAAAAACTTGGAGACAAGCAAGATTTCCTTCAGTAGGTGAATTAACAAACTGTGGTACATCCAGACAATTGAATATCATTCAATGATAAAATAAATGAGCTGTTGGCCGGGTGAGATGGCTCACGCTTGTAATCCCAGCACTTTGGGAGGCCGAGGCAGGCAGATCACGAGGTCAGCACATAGAGACCATCCTGGCTACCACGGTGAAACCCCGTGGCTACTAAAAATACAAAAACTTAGCCAGGTGCAGTGGCAGGTGCCTGTAGTCCCAGCTACACGGGAGGCTGAGGCAGGAGAATGGCGTGAACCCGGGAGGTGGAGCTTGGCTTGCAGTGAGTGGAGATCACGCCACTGCCCTCCAGCCTGGGCGACAGAGCAAGACTCCCTCTAAAAAAAAAATAAAAAAATAAAATAAATAAAATAAAAAATAAAAAGAGCTGTCAAGCCACGAAAAGACACAGAGGACGCTTATATGCATATTACAAAGTGAAAGAAGCCAATCTAAAACGGCTACATACTGTCACTTCCAACTATATGACCTTTCTGGAAAAGGTAAAACTATAGAGATAGAAAAAAAAAAATCAGTGGTTTCCAGGAGTTAGGAGGAAGAGAGGAATGAATAACTAGAGCACAGAGGATGCGTAGGGCCCTGAAAGTACATGTATGATATTTTAATAGTGAATACTTGTCATTGTAAATTTGTCCAAGCCCAAGTGTGAACCTTAATGCAAACTATAAGATGTATCATGTATCATTAATTGTAACAAATGCAGCACTCTGGTGGGGGGCGTTTATCATGAGAGAAGCTATGCATGTGTGGGGGGCAGGGAGTATATGGGAAATCTATACCTTCTGCTCAGTTTTGCTGTGAACTTTAAACTGCTCTAAAAAATAATGTGTGTGTACATGTGTGTATATATATATATATATATATATATATATGCATACACATGTTTGTGTGTATGCATATCTAATCACAAGAAACAATACATAGTTGGCCAGGCACGGTGGCTCACGCCCGTAATCCCAGCACTTTGGGAGGCTGAGGTGGGCAGATCATGAGGTCAGGAGATCGAGACCATCCTGGCTAACACGGTGAAACCCCGTCTCTACTAAAAAAAATATAAAAAATTAGCCAGGCGTGGTGGTGGGCACCTGTAGTCCCAGCTACTCGGGAGGCTGAGGCAGGAGAATGGCATGAACCCGGGAGGCGGAGCTTGCAGTAAGCGGAGATCACGCCACTGCACTCCAGCCTGGGCAACAGAGGGAGACTACGTCTCAGAAAAAAAACAACAAGAAACAATACACAGTTTCACTTATTAAAAAAGTCAAACATGTGCAAAACTAAACAATATGCAAGTCTATAATGACAAGCAATGGAATGATTAACAGGAAGTTAGGGATAGTGGTTACCTCTTGTGGAAAGAGTGAGTGGCATTGAAGAAGGGCAATGGGAGTTTCTAAGATACTGGAAATATTCTATTTCATAACCTGAAGGAAGGGCGCATATGCTCATTTTATATTCTTCTTAAGCTGTACACACACACTTTTATATTTATGATCTATTTCATTAAGTAACAAGACATATATATGCATTTGTAAATAAGTGAGATTAACACATTTTTGGATACATATAACATATCAAAGTTGACTCAAACAATTAGAAAATCTAGATGGAAATCATACCATTAAAGTAATTGAGTTAATAATTAATAATTCTACAAAGAAAACATGATGCCTAGATGATGTCACCAGTAGCTCCAATGTTACACTAATAATCTGCGAGGGGAAAAAAAAGAGACCATTCTTTAATTCATATGATACTAGGATAACCTTGCTATGGTGTACCTCATCCATGCACACAGACAAATAGTGTAAACAAAATACTAGGAGGTATACCTAGCAAAGTATAAAAACCATGAACAAGCTCGGTTAGTAATGCAAATTTAGTTCAGTGTTAGAAAATCTACTGAAATTATCTCCTTATCAACAAATTAAAGACAAAAATTATATGATTGTCTCAAAAGGCCTATAAAATTATTTTACAGCTGGGCACAGTGGCTCACGTCTGTAATCCCAGCACTTTGGGAGGCTGAGGCGGGTGGATCACGAGGTCAGGAGATTGAGACCATCCTGGCTAACACAATGAAACCCTGTCTCTACTAAAAAAAAAAAAAAATTAGCTGGACGTGGAGGCGGGCGCCTGTAGTCCCAGCTACTCGGGAGGCTGAGCCAGAAGAATGGTGTGAATCCGGGAGGCGGAGCTTGCAGTGAGCCGAGATCCCGCCACTGCACTCCAGCCTGGGCCACAAAGTGAGAATCCCTCTCAAAAAAAAAAAAAAAAAAAATTTACAAAAATTAAATTATTGATATTTCCACCTATGAATAAAGGGTAACTTCCTTAACCTGATAAAAGGAGTCGACAAATAACCTACAGCACCTATCATGTTTTGTGATTAAAAATATTGAAATCACTCCTTTTAAAATCAAGAAAAAGACAAGAGTACCATTGTCACTAAACTGCTTCCAAAGCTTATACGGAAGAGAAAAGGGCCCAGTATAACTAAGACAATCCCATAGAAGACTAAAGTGTGCGAAGGTGGGAGGTGGAGCTTATGTGAGTCTATCTCGTACCAGATTTGCTGTGAAGTTATAATTACCACAGCAGGAATTGCTATTGTGAAAGTGTATGCTTGTGTGAAATCTTGATGTATGCCCTGGCTAACATTACAGAACAGTCAGAAAGGGTCTATATGATCCATGGTATGAGCAATTGGTATCCATATGGGAAAATATCAGAATGCATCTCTATCCCAAAAATGGATCCCTATCACACAAAGGCCAGATCTAAATGGACAAAGGACTTAAATTTGAGATGCAAATATTTAAAAATCTTTTAGAAGAAAATATAAGAGGGTAACTTATTACATGCCACACCTACTATGTGTACTTTGTACGATGCAAGTGTTGGATATGAGTGTAGTATGTAAGTGTAGATGCCTCTAAGCAGTATATGCATGCTTGCTACTTTACACACGTGAAACACTGGGAATGGGAGCATGAGAGGAAACCCTAGGTCATTCTGGTCTCCAGACTGCTGCTCCTGCCCACCCCCGGTTCCAGCACTCCCTTCCCCATTCTCCTATCCAGATCCTCTGTTCCAGGCACAGCCACTTACAGCAGCTCAAGCCAGTGGCACCCACGGAGAGGCCCTCTTCACCCTACTGCTGGGCTGTCATGTCCCCTTTCTTTTCTTTCTGAAAAACAGTTTTCTCTGCCTATGACTCCTCATGTTTCACTCTCTCTAAAGCACACGGAAGCCTGGTTCCCTCCTCTGCTTTATCAGACCTGTTGCTGTGAGTTCCACTAGTGACCCTGCATGACAAATTCGGAGGTTTGCTCCCTTTTGCATAGCATAAAATGTTTACCTCGTGACATACTTGATAAATACAATTTTATAATTGTTAAGCTATCTATATATTCTGTATCTGTTTCAAAAATTATTTATAGGCGAGGCAAGGTGGTTCATGCCTGTAATCTCAGCAGTTTGGGAGGCTGAGGCGAGAGGATCATGAGGTCAGGAGATCGAGGCCATCCTGGACAACATGGTGAAACTCTGTCTCTACTAAAAATACAAAAATTAGCTGGGTGTGGCAGCATGCACCTGTAATCCCAGCTACTCAGGAGGCTGAGGCAGGAGAATAGCTTGAACCCAGGAGGCGGAGATTGCAGTGAGCCAAGATCGTGTCACTGCACTCCAGCCTGGCGACAGAGTGAGACTGCGTCTTCAGCCCCCCCAAAAATATAAAGACAATGTCAATTATGCCACACATAGGTTGTTTTTATTCCATAATATTGCTCTCCATATGTGTAATATGTTTCTACTTCACACATAGTTTTGATCAAAGATTAATCTATTGCACAGATATTTTTCTTAGTAATTAATAAAACTCAGCTTGGATTTCTTTAGCTAGATAAAACACCTTATACTAAGTGAATCAATCAAAGCTCTTTGTTGGAGTGAGATCTGAAAACTTTCGCTCAAGCTGGCTGCCTCAGCTTCACGGCATCAAATAATGGAGGGAGAAGTGGAGGCTGACATGCAGCAAGAATGACTGTGTGTGTGCTGGAGAGATATTTTGTTTAATTCATTTACAAGATACTCATGCCACACTGCTATGTGCCAAACAGCTGTTCTTGCTACTTGGTAAAAATTAATCATCTAATAGTTGAAAAGTTAATTGTTGTAATGTGACTTCAGTACGGCCAATCTCCAGGATTGAGAGCCAAAAAAAAGCATCACCATCATGATTGAGAAATGGAGTTACTGGCAGTAATGGAGCAAACCACGATTCTGCACTTGGACACAGAATTATTCCTGACAAGATCCTGGCTCCTAACTCTTCCACCAAAACCGAGTCTGCAGCTCCCACACTGAAATGCTGCTCATTTCACCCCAAGTGTGTTCCAGCCGTTCCTTCTTCTTCTCCTTCCTACCAGCTCTGTAATGTCTCCATCACAATGCTAAGGTCAGGGTCAATGGCACTTCGTTTCAGAAACTTTCTGAGAGCCCTGGAAAGTAATCTCTTCTTGTTCTTATTCTATGATCTCCTGCACCTTCTTTAAATCACTGATGATCATTTGTGTAGATGAGTTGTCTCCGTGTGTGTCTGACCTTTCTCCCAGTTGGTGAGTTTTGGAATCCAGGAAACATTTTAGTAAAGTAATAGTTTTTAGTAATTTAGTTCACCTCTGTGCACCCTACAGCCGTTTCTCACATGTTGGGGCTGCCCAGTGAGCACTTGTTGAGGGAAACTGCAGGGAGACTTGCAGGTCAGCTTCACTGAGCCAGAAAGTGAAGCAAACTGAGAGGGCAAAGTGCAAGACACTGGCTGAAATATATGAACACACTGGGGAAACAAACATTCCCGGCCTCTGTGGAGGTGGAACACAGTCGCTGAGGTCTGTGATTCAGCAGCACCCACCTGGCAAAGCATGCTCAGCATCGGGCTTCGTTCTCCCATAGTGCTTTCATGGCAAGGAAGAAAAGCTATACATACTAACATGGGCCAGCTGGAAACCACAACTATATAGTATTTCTTTTCAGCTTTTCAGCTGGAATTCCGAAAGAACTCTGAGGTCATGTAGAGTGCGGCATACTGTTAGATGGGGCCTGGGTGGGCTTGGTGTTACAGGACCTGCCCCAGGTCATGGTCTGTGGTGCGGAGGGAGGGTGTGATTTCCCATCCCCTTCTTATCTCTTTGTCCCATACTTTTTGCCCTGTACACACATGATCGTCCTCAATATCTTAAGTGGGATCTCCCATATAGCTAAAATTGATATTGGCATCTGAAGTATGCCTAACTTAGCTGAATATTTGGCCTTTGCCTTTAAAGGATCTGTAAGCTATTGGGATGAGACCAGGGAGAAAAAGGAAGACCATAGATAACTCAAGCATAATCTGCCATCCAATAATTTCATGACATGCTTATCCTTGGAATAAAGTTGGACTGTTGTCAGGAAACTGTCCCACCATTTTTTTTGCATGTAGAGACCTCCATCGCTATGGCCTCCATTGTAATGGGCTGTCATTGGGTTTGAAAAAAGTCTACATGTTGATTTTCATGGCAATAAAAGAGTCAGAGGTGCAAGCTGGAGCAAGGTGCTCGCCAAAGCTAGGCCTTTCCCCTCCCTCAGGAACTGGCAACAAGAGCAAGAGTTAGCTTCCTGAATGTTTGCATTTCAAAGAGACAGCTCTCAGGTCTTTGGGGAGACAATTCTGGGATGTAGATTTACACTTCAAAGGCAGAGAAAAGATTTATAATTGCAAGCTTTCTAAGGTTCTAAGAGGGGATTCAGGGCTCTACCTGCCCATCACCAGGTTTTGCCTGAAACAAACAGTAAATTCTCCTTGCAAGTGAGCTTTCTCAGGCAGTCATTTTAAGGAGGGCTGGGGTCATCCGTGGGACATCCTTGTGCTGCTGGAAGCCTCACTAGAGTTTGGTCCTCTCTTTGGACAGGGGTTTGGAAGGAGTAGTTAAGTACTGCGAGGCCTGCGTTCTCATGACCAAAGTTCACAAATGCCCATTTCCTTCTTTCTTTCTTTTTCTTTTTTTTAATATTTAAAAATCTTTATGTGTCTATTAACACCTTTTGGAAATTTCCATCCCTTTCAAACTATGTTCCAGTCAAACAAAACAAAGTGTGGCCCAGCAGCCCTGGGGAGTCTCTGGGTGAAGGGGAGATGAGCACACAAATGTTGAGAGTTTGAGAACCCCTGGCCTTGATCTTTATGATAGTTGGTCAAGTGGTCATCAGTGAAATCCACAGGGATTCCCTGAGAGTGTATAGCTTTGGCATGATGGTTGCTGTAATCTGAAGGGGAAAGTAGAAGTTTACATGTGAGTACTGAAGAAGCTTGAGACTGTCTCGCTCTGTCACCCAGGCTGGATGCAGTGGGGCCTTCTGGGCTCACTGCAACCTCCACAATTCTCCTGCCTCAGCCTCCCCAGTAGCTGGGATTACAGGTGCCTGCCACCACATCTGGCTAATTATGTTTTTCTTTAAAATTAGTTTTATTTAAAAAGTACAAGTAGCATCTTACTTTTACTTTTGCAAAAAGTAAAGAAATGGTGTTTCGTTGCAAAAATTAAACAAATAAATTTTGGATTGTAGAAAATTCATTAAAAACTCAAATTTTAATTTATTTAAAATCTATCTGGTGCTGTAAGTGTGGCTATTGGCAGATCTCTTTTTATTTATTTTTATTGATTTATTCATATTATCAATAACTAATTTTTAAATTATTATTCGTGAGCCCTTTCCCATGACAGCTTCTTGGAAATTTCTTTCTCTCCCATTAATCTAGTATGATCTCTCAGGCATATTTATTTAAAGTTCTTCCTCTCACTATTCCCTTCTTCACCATCATGCCTAGGTTAGTTACAAAGAACTAATTTAATGACCCATTTATTCTGAAGGGAGGCACAAGAAGTGAAGCTTCTTTCTGAGGCCTGAAGGGATCTCACCTCCTTAAATCTCTGTTTTCCTACCCCTACTTCAGATATTATTGAGACATTATATTTTCTTCCTCTACCTTCAGAAACTTCAGTATCAACAGGTCCAGATCTGCCTAAGCCCTCAGATGAGTCTGCAAACAATCATTGTGTCAACATTTGACTCATGCCTTGCAGATGATCCCAGGCACCGCTGTCTTAACCTGTGAAAACCGCAAATTCTTGGCACAAACAACTTCTTCTGCACATCCCTCCTCCTCATACATACAGTAAGGGACTTGGCCAAATTCCAACACAGCCTCTATCAGCTCAGAGCCACGTCCCTACGATGCCCCATACCCCTCTAAAGCACCTGCCTGGGAACATTCAATTCTGCCAAAAGAATTTACTGTTTGTCCCACCCAAAACTTGACTATAGGCCCCTGACCTCCCATTTCTAAGAGCTTTAACTTTAGAAAACTTGCAATTATGGCCAGGCGTGGTGGCTCAAATCCCATCACTTTCGGAGGCTGAGGAGGGTGGATCTTGAGGTCAAGAGAGCAAGACCATCCTGGCCAACATGGTGAAAACCCGTCTCTACTAAAAATACAAAAATTAGTTGGGCGTGGTGGCACACACATGTAGTCCCAGCTACTTGGGAGGCTGAGGCAGGAGAATCACTTGAACTTGGGAAGCGGAGGTTGCAGTGAGCCGAGATCGCCCCACTACACTCTAGCTTGGTGACAGAGTGAGATTCCGTCTAGAAAAAAAAAAAAACACAAAAAAACAGAAAACCTGTAGTTATAAACCTTTTCTCTGTCCCTTTAAATCTCCTATAACACAGAATGTCTTTCTCAAAGACTTAGGAGCTATCCCTTTGGACTATAAGGATCAAGAAGGATACAGGATTGTCTCCTGGTCTCTGTCTCTGCGTAGGAACCTAACTTTGATAAGCACTATTAGCAAACACAGATGGCCTCATCACATTGACCAACCTTTCCCCAAACATCAGTCCATGCTTTTCCTTTAGCACACTCCAACATTTGCAGAGCCTCTTGCTTTTTGTTTCAGTGGAGTTGAGGCTTTCTAACATACTATAAATTGATATGTCTACTTATTGATTAGAAGACAGAAATTAATCACTGGATTTCATTATCACGCTGACTTTTAGGATTAAAAGCAGCCTGTGGTTACAGATGCAACATCTTTACATTTCGAAGAAAAACAGGAGAGATTTGTCTTTGGCTCCTTTGGACCTCACTGAGTAATAGAAAAGAGAGAATTGAACAGGTTTGGATGATACAGCACAAGTCAGTTTAAAGTTCCAGGCAAAGAAAGCAACGGTTATTTTTCACTCCAGAGAGTGAATCATTCTTTGGGGCCACAAAAGAGAAGATTTGAAGAATAAGCAGGGACATCTAGAAGGTGGCTGAGTGTACTCCATCGGGTTAAATTAAGCTATTTTGTTGTTGTTGTTCAAATAGCTTCCCCACACGGTACATTTCATATCTAAAGTGCTATTCCCTCTCCCATCATTTTATTACGTATGCAATATCTGGCTGAGAACCTCTGTCTTGCCCTCCTTCTTACTGGTTAAGAACACAGACAGTCCTCTCTTTGCACAGCAGTGCAGGGCCATACAAATCACTATGTAAGCTAAAGATCTGTAAAGTGACCTAAATAATCCATGTGAAACATCGACTGTTCTGTGTCATTTAAAAATTTTGGCCAAAACATTAAAAATCTCTTACTGTTGGTTATAAATGTATAAGGAAATGAAACATAGTGAAATTAGTACTTTTTTTTTTTTTTTTTTTGAGATGGAGTCTCGCTCTGTCGCCCAGACTGGAGTGCAGTGGCACGATCTCGGCTCACTGCAAGCTCCACTTCTTGGGTTCAAGCGATTCTTCTGCCTCAGCCTCCCAAGTAGTTGTGGCATGCCACCACACCAGGCTGATTTTTTCTATTTTTAGTACAGACAGGGTTTCACTGTGTTAGCCAGGATGATCTTGATCTCCTGACCTCATTATCCGCCTCAGCCTCCCAAAGTGCTGGGATTACAGGAGTGAGCCACCGTGCCTGGTTGGGAGTACTTCATTTTTACACTGTAATTTAAAACATTAAACAACAGCCAATTAAAGTGCTTTATTTATTTATAGACGTATATCAAGCCCAGTTTGAACAGTGCTTGCCTCCCTCTTGTCGTATAGCTTATGATAAGGAGCCAGCAGTGTTTCTATGCCTTGGTGAACTGTCGTGCTGTTTTCGGAACAGCATCTAACATTGTCAACATTGTCATGCAATATCTACAAGAGTTCCTTTAATATGAAGTTTGTTGCTGTCTTTGCCGGCATCACTTCCTCTGGGGCTTCTTCATCCTTTTCATCACAGCTGCGTTCCTCATTTATGTCAGAACACTGCGTTGCGCCGAGTTCCTCTTGCTGCATTTCCTGTGGTGAGCCAATTCTATGATTCCATTTACATTGTATTTGAATACACTTCCAGGGTTATCACATTTTTTATTTCTTTGCTGCACATCAATGGTTGTTGACCAGTTTTTTCTTCTGATTATTCATATTTATAAATGTCACATGGGTTTCTCACTGGGAGACAAGGAGTCAACACGATTGCAGACTTTGCTGTCTGTGTGCAAACTAGCAGATGCACAGTGAGCAGTCACTGACAGGCTTTGAAGGAAGTGAATTGTGTCCCCCTAAAAAGATATATTTGAAATCCTAATCCCCAATATCTCAAAATAATATGATCTTATTTGGAAATAGCACATTTACAGAGGTTCTCAAGTTAAAATGAGGTCATTAGGGTGGGTCCTAATCCAATAGACTAACTGGTGTCTTATAATAAAGGAGAATTTGGATACAGCTCCAGACACACACACAAAAAAAGACGATGTGAAGACACATAGAGAAAACAGAGTGATATATCTATAGATCAGACAACAACAAGGATGGCTGGCAAACCCAAACAGGAAGGAGAGGGGAAGAAGGATTCTCCCCTAGAGCCAGCAGAGAGCATGAACCTGCCAACACATTGATTTCTGACTTCTAGCCTCCACAACTACGAGTCAATACATTTCTGTTGTTTTAAGCAACCCGGCTTTTCATACTTTGTTGCAGCATCCCCACAAGATTAATACAGTCCCTAATCATGATGCTTGCCTGTTATTTACTCACATAGGCATTTGTGGAATTAAGAGCTGGGAACGAAGTTTGGATTTTATGCAGTTGCTCACAGTTAGCATATTGTGGTAACTGAAATTGTAACCACGTTTTTGGGAGACTAGTGCTATTTAACTAAACTATGTTAATTAAACCTGTGCATATTCAAATGTGCAAAGCCAGGACTGTTTTTACTTAGTTCAGGTATTTAGAGGGAAAGAATGTTTGCCTCTTTTCAGGGCCTTAGAGCATGCCCTGTGCCAGCAGGCCCCTTCCACAGCTACTTAACATCTCTTCTCATCTTGCCAGCCACCTCTCAACTCAGATGACCAGCAAGGCCATCTTTGACTATCAAAATGAAGTAGCCCCTCTCCGCTTTTGACTACGTTCACTTGCTTTATTGTCTTTATAGCATTTTTATTTACTAAAATAACATTTTTTTCATTACTTGATTTTTTTCTTGATTCAGTACTTCTAAAAAATGCAGATTAAAATTCCAATGACAAACCAAGTTAACTAATGTTAAAAAGTGTGATACTGGCCAGGCACGGTGGCTCATGCCTGTAATCCCAGCATTATGGGAGGCTAAGGCAGGCAGATCACAAAGTCAGGAGATCGAGACCAACCTGGCTAACACGGTGAAACCCCGTCTCTAACAAAAATACAAAAAATTAGCCGGGCGTGGTGGTAGGCACCTGTGGTCCCAGCTACTTAGGAGGCTGAGGCAGGAGAATGGTGTGAAACCAGAAGGCGGAGCTTGCAGTGAGCCGAGATCACGCCACTGTACTCCAGCCTGGGTGACAGAGCGAGACTCTGTCTCAAAAAAAAAAAAAAAAAACAAACTGTGATACTATTAGGTATTGTTGAGAATATAGATCTATCAGAACCTTTAACTTCTCATGGGAGCATAAATCGGAAAACAGTTCATTTTAACTTAGTGTACAAATCTTTTGACACAATGATTTGAATGTTGGGTTTATACCTTAGAGAAAATCTAACTCTTATGTCCAGGAGACTCATACAAGAAAAGGACATCTACTTTTTGTAACAGAAAAAAATGGATAATAACCCCAATCTAATAAAATGGAATGCTCATTATAGTATTATCCTGTGATGGAATACTCTAAATCAATGCACAGAAAGTACAGATAAACATATCATAAGAATGAATCTTACAAATTTAATATTGAACCAAAAAGCAATTTCAGAAAAATATATTCAGTGTGATCCCATTTGTTTAAACTGAAAAACATGTAAAACAATAATGTTCAATGTCCTTTACTAATGCATTTATTTTGGCAAAATTATAAAGGCAAGAAATGGGACTAATTAACAGGACAGTGTTAAGGACTCTAAAAATATGGGTAGTTTTTGATTCTTAAGCAGGTAATGTGTACATCAGTGTTCATTTTATTATTTCTTACACTGTGTTCATGACTTACACATAATATTTTGCTAGTTTTAAAACATAAGATGTGATAATAATCTAAACAGACCAAAGGAAAAAATGAATATGTTAAAAAAAAAGACAGAGAATGAGCCCTGTCTGATAGAAAGCATAACAAAGCAAGTAGAAGAACTCTCACGAATGCTTGATCCAATAAAGCTAGGTTTGTGCTCCACAACACTTCAGCATTTTAATGTGATTTTTGATGTTTGCTTTTTGCAACGGTGATTCTCAGTTGCCTCCCTCCTATGTCTTTACAAGCTGAAATCAAGTGAAGCTACTTCTGACTTTTTCTAAAACTAAAACCCAACATGAAGGTCTGCGTATTCTTTCACATGTGCACGTATGTGGCACTTTTCCATGATGCAACAGCAGCGGGTCTCTAGCTAAGCTACAGCAGCAGCTCTAAGAGGCAGAGGACCCTGAAATGAGGCTGAAAGAAAGAATAGTCCATAACTGACATCAGGCAGGCTGCTGTTGTAAGCAAAGAAAGGAGGCTCACAGGGGCGTGGACTCAGGCCAGGTCAGGCTATTGTGGGAGAACACGGAGCACACGTGTCAGCTGGAAAGGGGCCGGCTCAGGAGACAAAATAGGCACGAGAGGAAACCGAAAAATTGACATACGTGACTATCCTTGTAGAAATGTATAAAGGTTTGGATTATTTTGCTTATCGAGTTATAATAAACTTATTCTAAAAATGTTTATGTAAAGTATTATGTACATTTTTGTTTTACCTTATAAAGATTATTTATATTTGAATTGTGTGGTTTTGGAATGACAGTATTTATAAAGTTGGTTTTGACATTCTCTACGATGCTTAATGAAGAAACTGACGTTCAAAGAGATTGGTTAATTCCCTGTGGCCAGTGGCTGAGCTGGGACAGAGTTCAGGTTTTCTGATTCTCAGCCTATGTTGTTTTCTCTTCATTTTAATGTGAACCTAAATAGGTATAGGATCTAGACAAATATGACATGTAGTGCCTTATTTCTTGTTTTCTCTGTAATGAATGCCAGGTGAGATAACTTTATTTACAAAAGCCCATCCAGTGGCTCAGGTTGCATCTGTAGTTGCCTTTGAATCATTTATTAAACGTCAGGATGGTAAAGTGAGGAGCTTCCCCAAACTGAAGCAGAGTGGCATTTGTCCCAGGTTGTAGAGTGTTCCCTGCCATAAATAAAGACATGCTGGTTCTTGTTATTTATACAGGCACTGGGGTTCCCATTAGCTCTTACATTTCATATGCTTAGAGCAAGAAGCTAGAGAGTGACTTAGGATACAGTGTAAATATATTAGTAAATTAAGACAGTTCTGCAAGATTTTTAGGACTTCTATTTTTCTTCTATTCATCATTTATGAAGTATTCTTGCTGGAAATAGTTTATGTCTCTCTATCTTGCTGAGTGATGAATACTCGGCCAGGATGTTAAAATGTGGTTTCATGAAGTATGTTGTGTTTCTGTCTGTTCTTGTTTCCTTCCTTGAAATGTGTAAAAGTGAAAAACGTATTAATCATAAATCAAGCATTCATCATAAGCCTAAAAAAAGATAAAATAATCAGTAGTATCATTGACTAAAATTATTACTCACCAAAAGAAACTCACTCCAAAGTTAGCACAATACTAACAGAGAATCCTAGTTTTGCCAGGAATCACTGAGGCATAGTACCTCACATGGGAAACATGGGAAGTAAAACCACCTGAGGAGCCACTTGATGGTGAGTCAGGCTGTTCCTCGAAGAGCAGGCTGTGACTGCCAAACTTTGTAGGTTAAGGAGTATTTATAATGATCTTTGAGGAAACTGCAACTGACAATTGAGGAAAAAATATGTTAGTTCATGACTGCAAAATACATGACAGAATCACAAAAACTATTTTACAAGTTTAAAAAACAAACCTGATGCTGATGCAGGGCAGGC
The DNA here is from genome assembly GCF_000001405.40 of Homo sapiens. Classification (NCBI taxonomy): domain Eukaryota; kingdom Metazoa; phylum Chordata; class Mammalia; order Primates; family Hominidae; genus Homo; species Homo sapiens. Next base: position 61,297,538 of record NC_000009.12, read on the forward strand.
AAACCCCAAAGTGGGGCTTAGCCTGCAAGGGTTCTTGGCTTCACCCAGGAAAGGATTCAAGGGCGAGCCAGTGGTAAGGTGGAAGAAAACACCTTTATCAAAGCAACACTGTTGCAGCTCCTGTGGGGTCACAGCTCAGTGACTGCTCCCAGGGTTGCCCCATAGGCAGGGTGCCGAGAGTAGTGGCTGAGCCCAGTTTTGCAGTCATATGTATACCTACTTTTAATTACATGCAGATTCAGGGGTGGTTTGTGCAGAAATTGTTAGGAAAAGGGTGGTAATTTTTGGGTCATCAGGTCATTGTTGCTGAAAGGGGTGGTAATGCCTGAGTGTTGCCATGGCAATGGTAAACTGACAGGGCACACTGGTGGGTGTGTCTTACAGAAAGCTGCTTCCTCTCTGTCCTTGTTTAGCTAGCCCTCAATCTTTTGTTTGTAAATTAGCAAGAGAGTCATGGCCTTGGCGTTTTATCCCAGAAGTACAGTGGACCCCAGAGCACTCTAGACCCAGGAGCCAAACCAAATCACAGCATCCCACAGTTGTGTCCAGCCCTCCATCACTGATTGGCTGCAATCCAACAAGTGGCCCAGAGGGGAGGGTTCATTGAAAGCTCTTTGCTAAGTGACAGGCCTTTAAGGAGGAAAAGGCTCTTAAAGATTGGTATGGGATGGGGGAAGTGTTTGTGGTCACCACGGCACCCCAAGGCTGTGGCCTTCTCTGAGCACCCTGAGACTCAGCCATGTCTTTCTCTCTGTTTTCCCACAAAACCAGCCAGTGCTAAAGCATATCCTCCTGGCCTACAAACAGTGGCCATGACTTCCAACTCATCCAGGCTACTTCTGATTTAGTGTTAGGCCGCCCACTTGATGTGTATGTTCCCATGCTGTGTCGACCCTATTGCTTAATGAAAACACACAGCACTTGTTTGCTTCTCAACTTACTTCTCATGAAATATTACTACTCCTCCCCACCCAATCACAATCCTTTGCTGCCAAAAATCCCTTGCTACCCTGTACATTTTGCCCAATAAGGGAACCCCTCAGCACACACACACAATGGCCTCCTCAGAAGGCTGAGTCAGCAGAATCGCATGAACCAGGGAGTTGCAGGTTGCAGTGAGCCAAGATTGCGCCACAGCACTCCAACCTGGCGACAGAGCAAGACTCTGTCTCAAAACAAACAAACAAACAAACAAAAAACAAAAAAAATGCCTCACTCATCTCACTTATGTAATCATGACAGTACCATTAATTGTATTATCCCTATAATACAGATGACAGCTGCCAAAAATATACAGAGAAGGGTTAATTAAACTGCATAACATTACTCAGAGAATGCATTCTTTTTATTCCATAGGTTTTTCTATTACAGTACTACATACACAGAGGCCTTCCATTGGAAATAACTTATAGGAATTATTGTAGGCCTCTTTGCACTTTCTTCAGCTCTTGGTTTAGGTCTCAAATTGTGAGTGATTTCTCTCTTTAGTGAAGTTGTAATGCAATTCATTACCATAGCAGAAAACACAGAAAATATTACCTATTTATTAACTGGAAATGCACTCACATCTTGTATTAGTCCATTCTCATGCTGCTATGAAGAAATATCCAAGACTGGGTAATTATAAAGAAAAGAGGTTTAATTGATTCACAGTTCCACATGGCTAGGGAAGCCTCAGGAAACTTACAATCATGGCAGAAGGCACCTCTTCACATGGTGGCAGCAGAAATAATGAGTTTTGAGCAAAGGGGAAGCCCCTTATAAAATGATCAGATCTCATGAGAACTCACCCACCATCATGAGAACAGCATGGGGGCAACTACCCCATGATTCAATTATGTTCACCTGATCCTACCCTTTACACTTGGGGATTATGGGAACTGCAATTCAAGATGCGATTTGGGTGGGGACACAGAGCCAAATCATATCATTCTGTCCCTGGCCCCCCTCCAAGTCTCATGTCCTCACATTTCAAAACACAATCATACCTTTCCAACAGTTCCCCAGAGTCTTAGCTCATTACAACATTAACCCAAATGTCCAAGTCCAGAGTTTCATCTGAGTCAAGTCCCTTCCACCTATGAGCCTGTAAAATCAAAAGCAAGTTAGTTACTTTGTAGATACAATGGAGACACAGGCATTGGGTAAATACACCCATTCCAAATGGGAGAAATTGGCCAAAACAAAGGGGCTACAGGCCCTATGCAAGTCTGAAATCCAATAAGGCAGTCATTAAACCTTAAAGTTCCAAAATGTTCTCCTTTGATTCCAGGTCTCACATCCAGGTCACACTGATGCAAGAAGTAAGCTCCCATGGCCATGGGCAGCTCCACCCCTGTGGCTTTGCAGGGTACAACCCCCTCCTGGTTGCTTTCATGGGCTGGCATTGAGTGTCTGTGGCTTTTCCAGGGGCACAGTGAAAGTTGTCAGTGGATCTACCATGCTGGGGTCTGGAGGACAGTGACCCTCTTCTCACAGCTCCACTAGGTAGTACCCCAGTGAGGACTCTGTGTGGGGGCTCCAACCCCACATTTCCGTTCTGCACTGTCCTAGCAGAGGTTCTCCATGAGGGCTTTGCCCCTGCAGCAAACTTCTGCCTGGGTATCCAGGCATTTCCATACATCCTCTGAAATCCAGGTGAAGGTTCCCAAACCTCAATTCTTGACTTCTGTGAACCCACAGGCTCAACACCACATGGAAGCCTCCAAGGCTTGGAGCTTGGACCCTCTGAAGCAATGGCCTGAGCTGTACCTTGGCCCCTTTTAACTGTGGCTGGAGCTGAAGCATCTGGGAGACAGGGCACCATGTCTCAAAGCTGCACAGAACAGGGGGTCTTGGGCCCATGAAACCATTTTTCCCTCCTAGGTTTCCAGGCCTGTGATGGGAGAGGCTGCCAAGAAGGTCTCTGACTTGCCCTGGAGACATTTCCCTCATTGTCTTGGTAATTAGTATTCCACTCCTTGTTCTGCAAATTTCTGCAGCTGGCTTGAATTTCTCCCAAGAAAATGGGTTTTTCTTTTCTATCGCCTTGTCAGGCTGCAAGTTTTCCAAACTTTTATGCTCTGCTTCCTCTTGAACACTTTGCTGCTTAGAAATTTCTTCCACGAGATACCCTAAATCATCTCTCTCAAGTTCAAACTTCCACAGCTCTCCAGGGCAGGGGCAAAGTGTTGCAGTCTCTTTGCTAAAGCGTAGCAAGAATCACCTTTATCCCAGTTCCCAACAAGTTCCTCATCTCCATCTGAGACCACCTCAGCCTGGACTTCATTTTCCATGTCACTATCAACATTTTGGTAGAAGCCATTCAAGTCTCTAGGAAGTCCCAAACTTTCCCACATCTTCTTGTCTTCCAAGTCCTCCAAGTCTCTAGGAAGTTCCACACTTTCCCACATTCTTCTGTCTTCTTTTTTTTTTTTGAGATGGAGTTTCGCTCTTGTTGCCCAGGCTGGAATGCAGTGGTGCAATCTCTGCTCACTGCAACCTCCACCTCCCATGTTCAAGCCATTCTCCTGCCTCAGCCTCCCAAGTAGCTGGGATTACAGGCATGCATCATGATGCCCAGCTAATTTTATATTTTTAGTAGAGATGGGGTTTCACCATGTTGGCCAGGCTGGTCTCACACTCCTGATCCCAGGTCATCCACCTGCCTCGGTCTCCCAAAGTCCTGGGATTACAGGGATGAGCCACCACACCCAGCCTTTACTGTCTTCTTCTGAACCCTCCAAACTATTCCAACCTCTGCCTGTTGCCCAGTTCCAAAGTCACTTCCACATTTTAGTGTATCCTTATAACAGCACCCTATGTCTGTGGTACCAATTTACTGTATTAGTCTGTTTTCATGCTGTTATGAAGAACTCCTCAAGACTGGGTAATTTATAAAGAAAAGAAGTTTAATTGACTCATAGTTTCACATGGCTGGGGATGCCTCAGGAAACTTACAATCATGGCCAAAGGCACCTCTTCACAGGGTGGCAGCAGAAACAATGAGTTCTGAGTGAAGGAAGAAGCCCCTTATAAAACCGTCAGATCTTGTGAGAACTCACTATCACGAGAACAGCTTGGAGAAAACCACCCCTGTGATTCAATTATGTCCATCTGGTCCCACCCTTGACACATAAGGATTATGGGAATTACAAGATTACACATTAATCTTAAATTACACATTAATAAGTGTGTAATGAAACATCCCCTTTTTTTATTTGAGTTCATTTCAATAGATATGGAAATAATAGAAAATGCATCTGACATCAAATTCCTGGGAAGTACAGACAAAAAAAAAAAAACCAAAAACAGATCTTTAAAGGTATTTGAATAAGTAAATGTTGCAGCCAAACCATATCACTTGTTAAAAATGCACGTTAACCATTGAATCAAAACCATATATAAGCTTAGATAATTCAATTTCAACCAGATTATTCCTTTTATTCTTTAAATGATGGAGAACATTATAGCCATAGGCTCGTGCTGACAATTTTTCCTTAAATGAATGAAAAGATGAATTTATTTTTCTCAAAGAATTCTGTACCATTATAGGAATAAAAGATCAGCAGTTGTAACAGGGAATGGCCAAAAAGCCTGAAATAACATTGCTGTTAAGAATTAGCTATTACAAAATCGCCCCAAGAAATCTCAGTGCTCCACAAACTTCACATGGTTGAGGGCCATAATTATTATAAAAGTTGAACTATGTTAATTCAGAGATCACTGTCATTATTACTCTCAAGGATCCGAGAGCCATGCATAATCCCAGAACATTGCATACCTAATCAGGAATGGAGAAGTAATGTCCTTTTGAATTTTATACCTCTGGGGCTGCCCATAAAAATCTTAGGATTTTGAGCTCTTTGAGGGTCATGATGTTTACCTCTATTCTCTTTCTGTCCACAAACATCTAAGATATCAGTAATGTTATTCACTAATTTGCTGACAAAGAGTAAATTGAATAAAATTTAAATATATTTACTCTGAAAGTAATAAAATTTAAATATATTTACTCTGAATATATGATCTTTAGAATAAACTAATTTTTCAGTGATTCATTCTGCACAATTTTAAATCTTTTTCATAGTAACCTCAGTTTGTGTGACTTTAAATGGGAAAACTCACATTTTAAATGTATAATGAAACATCCTCATTTTTGATTTGAGTTCATTTCAATAGATATGGAAATAATAGAAAATGTCCCTGAGGTCAAATTCCTGGGAAGTAGAAGCAAAAAAATACCAGATCTTTAAAGGTATTTGAATAAGTAAATGTTGCAGTCTGTACTTTATCAGTAAGCTATGATACAAAAAACAATGCATGGCAGTTGCTTGTCAATTTTGTGATTTATTCAGAAACATACATCTCTGCATACACTTACAGTTTTATACAGTAGTGCAAAACGTCAAAAGCACTGATGTTGCTCAAAGGAAATGTTAAGGAGCTAAGCCTCGCTGCAAATTCCTTCACAAACCCGTCCAATCCTGTGAGCGTCGAGCGGCCTTCACATCACAGCCTGCATCCTGACAGGCCCGTGAGACCCATCCCGCTTCATGGAACGTGAGTCAGCAGCTCAGGGAAGGACAAGGACATCTACATAATTGGCTTGAAATATTCAACTTTTCAAAATTTTATATTTTCATACATATAAATATATATTCTTAAAATGTATTTTTGTTTTTCTATCCGAACAGAAGTGCAATAATTCTTTAAAAATACTTCTAAACAGACCAGGGCAGTGGCTCACACCTGTAATCCCAGCACTTTGGGAGGCCGAGGCAGGTGGATCACAAGGTCAGGAGATTGAGACCATCCTGGCTAACACGGTGAAACCCTGTCTTTACTAAAAATACAAAAAAATTAGCCAGGTGTGGTGGCGGGCGACTGTAGTCCCAGCTGCTGGGGAGGCTGAGGCAGGAGAATGGCGTGAACCCGGGAGGCGGAGCTTGCAGTGAGCCGAGATCGCGCCACTGCACTCCAGCCTGGGTGACAGAGCGAGATTCTGTCTCAAAAAAAAAAAAAAAAAAGATAGAAAATAGCATTAACCTTGAAGGACGCTTTACGCCAAATGGACCTAATAGACACATACAGAAACTTCACCCAACAGCAGCAGAATACACATTCTTCTCAGGGACACATAGAACATTCTGCAGGATAGACAACAGGTTAGACCACAAGACGAATCTTTGCAAATTTAATATTAGAATCATATCAAGTACCTTTTCAGACAACAATGATATGACACTAGAAACCAACAATAGAAGGAATTCCAGAAAATGTACGAATACGTGGAAACTAAGCAACATGGTGGTGAACCACCAATAGGTCAATGAAGAAATGGAAATTAAAAGAATTAAGCAACATGCTCTTGAACAACCAATAGGTCAATGAAAAAATTAAACAAGAAATGTAAAAATATCTTGAGAAAAACAAAAATGGAAACACAACATACCGAAACTTATGAGATCCAGCAAAAGCATTTCTAAGAGGAAAGTTTATAGCAATAAACATCAAGAGCAAAAAGAAGAAAGATCTCAAATAAACAACTTAGTATTATGCCTCAAGGAAATAGAAAAAGGATATCAAATTCTTCCAATGTTAGCAGAAGGAAATAAAATAATAAAGATCAGAGCAAAAATAAGTGAAATGAAAACTAGAAAATGACACAAAAGATGAACAAAACTAAGTTTCTTAAAAATATAAAACCAATAATCTTTTAGCTAGACTAAGAAAAAAGGAGAGAAGACTCAAATAAATAAAATTAGAAATGAAAAAGGAGACATTATAACTGATACCACAAAAATACAAAGGATCATAAGAGACTGTTACAATTACATGCCTTTACAAAAATCATTTTTTCATTGGCAACAACATTGGAAAATGTTATGCTAAAAGAAATAAGCGAAGCCAAAAAAGACAAAAACTTCATGTTCTCAATTATATGTGGAATCTAAAACAATCAAACTGAAAGAAGCAGAGAGCAGAATGGTCATTAGCAGAGGCTGGAGGTGCGGGGTGGAACGGATAGATATTGGACAAAAGGTACAAAGCCTCATTTATACAAAAGGAATAATAAGGGTTTTTTTTCTTTGAGATATATTGCAAAACTTGGTGAAAATAGTACATAGTAAAGAATTCTACATTTTAAAAATCACTAAGAGAGTAAATTTCAAATGCATTCCCCATTAAAAATGACAAGTATTTGAGGTGGTGGATGTTAATTAGCTTGATATAATTATTCCAAATTGTATTCATAAATTATATCACCATTTTGTACTCCATAAATATACACAACTACGATTTGTCAATTTACAATTTAAAAATAAAAATCAAAGCACAAAACAAAACAAGAAAACACAATACGTGTGTGTGTACCTATGCATGTGTGAGTCCATACAAGTGCACACACACACCCCCTTCACGTCCATTACTTTCCAAAGTGGACAAATGTGTAATTATTTCTAATTAATCATTAGAAATACATCAAGGAACAAGTACAATAAGGCAAGTAAATTTACTGATATCCCATCAGAGATAAGTGGGACATTGCAAATTAACAACAATGGAGGAACAAACCACAGTTTATTTTCTTACTTTATGAGACATCCTTTTTGAATTTTGAAAAATTATAGAGAAGTATCTTTAATTTGGTGTAGATGCTTAGTTATTCAAAAGGGAACTTAGAAAAATTAGAAGCAGACCACTTCATTATTTTTCACAATAATAACCAATATGAAACTTTTCCTGGAAGACTAAAATCTTACCACAAAGAAATTAAGCAAAAACATTGGGCACTTCTTATATAAATACAGCCTGTTTTGAAATGGTATGTTTTTTAATTTTTACAAACATTTTCACTTGCAGATAATTTCGCATGTGCATAAAAGTTGAAAAAATATGCAAAGAACTCCCATATACCTACCCTTTACCCAGGTTTATCAATTGTTAACATTTCATCACACTTGTTTATTCTAGATAGGTATTGATATAGATATACACACACATTTTTCTGAATTATCTAAGAGCAAGATGCAGACAGTATGCCCCTTTATTTCTATACACTAGTGTAGATTTCCTAGGAACAAAGTCATTCCTTAAAGGAGGAAATTCAGTGAGGCCTTCTGCAGTAAATGACATTCTGAGCCAGCTGATTTGGCCTTGTGACCAATATGAGGGACTATTTAACTTCGTATTTTTTTATCTCCTTCTTTATTTACACCCAGTTATATTGTTTTCCATTTCGTTTACTCGCATAAATGTCAGATTTGTCCATGTGATTTATCAGGTTTATCAGAATATCAACTTGAATCTTTTCTTTTCTCTAACATTTATCTAAATATCTCAGGAGACTCTCATCCTTCCTTCTCTCCTTTATTCCATTTGCAAAGTTAAAAAAAAAGCCTCAATTATGGCATTTCAGTATTCATAGTAGTACAGATAATACATTTATATCAAGGAAAAGAAACGCATTTTAGGCCAGGCGCGGTGGCTCACGCCTTTAATCCCAGCACTTTGGGAGGCCAAGGCGAGCGGATCAAGAGGTCAGGAGATGGAGACCATCCTGGCCAACATGATGAAACCCCGTCTCTACTAAAAATACAAGAATTAGCTGGATGTGGTGGCGCGTTCCAGTAGTCCCAGCTACTCCGGAGGCTGAGGCAGGAGAATTGCTTGAACCCGGGAGGCGGAAGTTGCCGTGAGCCGAGATGGTGCCATCGCACTCCAGCCTGGCGACAGAGCGAGATTGTCTCTCAAAAAAAAAAAAAAATGCATTTCAAAGGTAAGGAGACATAATATAGAATTTGTACACCAGATTCTGAACTTATGACTATTTTTAAAGGATAATTTGAAAGTTATACCAGAATATGCTGCTTCTTGATTTGGTCTTATTTTGCTCTTTTTATTTCTTGTTTTTGTTTGTTGTTTGAGGTAGGAATTTAGTTGGTTGAGGACTTTATCACTTCTAATATAAACATTTAGTAATAAAAATTTTCCTCTCACCTCTGCTTCAGCTGCATCTTACATATTTTCATATACCTTATTTTTATTTTAAATCAGTTGTATGCACTTTAGTATATTGTCAACAAGATAATATTTCTAAAATAAAAACCAAGACATCAAGGGTTTACTTTCTGAACATTTCTTAACATTAAATCAGCACAGCATCTTCCCAGATCTTTTCGTTTTTGGATGGCTCCATACTTTATTCCCTACCTACCTCCTCTTTCCTTTAAAGAATGATTAACAGGTTCCATAGACAATATCAAATAAAACCCGAAACATAACCAAAGTAATTGGAAGTAAAAGAGAAGGAAGGGTAAGATAGTTAACATAAACATGAACCAGTTTATACACTTTTTAATAATGTTTTTCTTTTACTTAAAAAATAAGTAGAGTGTAAAGGTAGTCCTTTGTTTAATCACTGAATCTCAAACTGTTTACTACAGAATAAAACAAGTAAAATAATCATCATCCATTATAAGCTTAATCAAGATGAGCACTGTTTAATCCTGATTAATTTATAACTAATTTTCTGCTGCTGGTACACTTTTTAAAAACAGCTTTGTTTAGCCATAATTTAAATTTTGTGTAATTTACTCACTTAAAATGTTTCATACATATTAATATATTCATTCAGTTGTTCAATCATCACCAAAGTTTCATTTTATAACATTTTTGGTACCCTCAAAGAGTCCCAGTACCCATTAGCAGTCACTTCCCATTCCTCCTCCACCTTACATCATTAGGCAACCACTGTCTAAACTTGCCTGTTTGGGAGATTTTATATAAACGGAATAATACAAAATGCACTCTTTGGTTCTGGTTTCTTTTATGCAGCATGATATTTACAAGAATATAATATTTTCACCCAGGTTGCAGCATGTGTTAGTACTTCATTCCTTTTGTTGGTCAATAACATGATATCATATATATGATATATGATACACCATATTGTATTTATCCATTCATCAGTTAATTAACATTGGGGTTGTTTTTACTTTTTGGCTATTATAAGTAATACTGTAATAAATATTAAAATTTTTTTAAGAGCTTGTGAAGAATGGCACTAATTCTTTAAATGATTGGTAGATATTATTCTAGAAATGATATTTCGTCAACATTATCTAATATGTTGACATTCTTTTTTCATAGTACCTTTAATAGTTCTTTTTATTTCTATAAGGTCAATAGTAATGTCCCTCTTTCATTCTTAATTTTAGTAAGTTGAATCTTTCTTTCTCCCTGTAAGTGTAGCTAAAGTTTGTTAATTTTGTTAATCTTTTTAAAGACCCAACTCTTGGTTTTGTTGATTTGCTCTACCATTTTTTCTATTTCTTTAATTTCTATTTCAATGTTTATTATATCCTTTCTTCTGCTTATTTTTCATCATGATCTCATCTCTGACTCATTGGTTATTTAGAAGTATGTAGCTAATTTTTATAAGTTCTGCTTTTCCCAAAGTTCTTTCTGTTTTTAATTTCTAATTTAATTCCACTTTGATCAAAGAACAATCATTTTCTACTTTTTTTGAGGTTTGGTTTTTGGCCTAGCATGTGATCTATTTTAGGAACTGTTCCATGTGCACTTGAGAGTAATGTTCCGCTTTTGGGTGTACTGTACTGTCATCTAGCTAGTTTATACTGTTACTCAAATCCTCCATATTCTTGCTAGCATCTATTTAGCTTTTCTGATTATCGAAAGTGAGATACTGATGTCTGCTATGATTACCATCTCCAACTATTATTGTTGAATTCTACCTTTAATTCACCTTTAATTCTACCTTTAATTTTTGCTTTGTAGATTTTGGAAAAATTTCGTTCAGTGCACATAGGTTTATAATTTTTATACCTTCTTGATATATTGTCTCTTTAACATTACAGCATGTCCTTCTTTATCTCTGATGTATCAGTCTGTTCTCACAGTGCTAATAAAGACATACTTGCGACTGGGTAATTTATAAACGAAAGAGGTTTGACCTGGCTAGGGAGGCCTCACAATCACGGTGTAAGGCAAGGAGGAGCAAAGTCACATCTTACAATCATAGCGGCACGCAAGAAAGCATGCTTTATAAAAGCATCACATGGCCGGGCGCTGTGGCTCACGCCTGTAATCCCAGCACTTTGGGAGGCCGAGGCGGGCGGATCATAAGGTCAGGAGATCAAGACCATCCTGGCTAACACGGTGAAACCCCGTCTCTACTAAAAATACAAAAAAATTAGCCGGGCGAGGTGGCGGGCGCCTGTAGTCCCAGCTACTCGGGAGGCTGAGGCAGGAGAATGGCGTGAACCCCGGGGGGCGGAGTGTGCAGTGAGCCGAGATCGCGCCACTGCACTCCAGCCTGGGCGACAGCGAGACTCCGTCTCAAAAAAACAAAAAAAAAAAAAACAAAAACAAACAAAAACAAACAAACAAACAAAAAAGCATCACATAACTGGTCTGAGATAGTATCTCATTGTGGTTTTGATTTGCCTTTCTCTAATGACCAGCGATGATGAGCTTTTCTTCATATGTTTGTTGGCTGCATAAATGTCCTCTTTTGAGAAGTGTCTGTTCATATCCTTTGCCCACATTTTGATGGGGTTGTTTGTCTCTTGTAAATTTGTTTAAGTTCTTTGTAGATTCTAGATATTCGCCTTTTGTCAGATGGACAGATTGTAAAAATTTTCTCCCATTCCGTAGGTTGCCTGTTCACTCTGATGATAGTTTCTTTAGCTGTGCAGAAGCTCTTTAGTTTAACCAGATCCCATTCGTCTATTTTGGCTTTTGTTGCCATTGCTTTTGGTGTTTTAGTCATAAAGTCCTTGCCCATGCCTATGTCCTGGATGGTATTGCCTAGATTTTCTTCTAGGGTTTTTATGGTTTTAGGTCTTATGTTTAAGTCTTTAATCCATCGTGAGTTAAATTTTGTATAAGGTGTAAGGAAGGGGTCCAGTTTCAGTTTTCTGCGTATGGCCAGCCAGTTTTCCCAATACCATTTATTAAATAGGCAATTCTTTCCGCATTGCTTGTTTTTGTCAAGTTTCTCAAAGATCAGATGGTTGTAAATGTGTGGTGTTATTTCTGAGGCCTCTGTTCTGTTCCATTGGTCTATATCTCTGTTTTGGTACCAGTACCATGCTGTTTTGGTCACTGTAGCCTTATAGTATACTTTGAAGTCAGGTAGCATGATGTCTCCAGCTTTGTTCTTTTTACTTTTGCATCTTTTAAAGAAGCTGAGGAAGAAAGGAGGGCAAGTATACATTTGTAAAGTTTGTGATATTAATCTTCTTATCTGCCATTTCTGGTTCTCTTTATTTTTGTACACCTGAAAAACCATCTGGTGTCAACCTCTTGGTTGGTCCAATATAGATTTGCTTCTGCTCATATCCTTTGTGCCATTATTGTCAAATATATTACATTTCCATAGGTTACGAATCCAACAATCTGTGTATATACATATCATTTTATGCAATTGCATTTTAAATCATTTAAGGAAAGAAGACAAAATATCCAATTATACTCTAACAATTATCTACATAATTCAATTTACCAGCCTCTTTGTTTTCTCATATGGGGTTGAACACGTATCAGGAATCAGCTTGGAAATCTTTTGTTAGTGTTAATAAATATCAAGATAAATCTTCCAGCAACACATTTTCTCAATTTTTGTTTATATGAAAATGTCTATTTTTTTTTTTTTTTTTCGAGACAGAGTCTTGCTCTGTTGCCCAGGCTGGAGTGCAGTGGTGCAATCTTGGCTCACTTCAAGCTCCGACTCCCAGGTTCACGCCATTCTCCTGCCTCAGCCTCCCGAGTAGCTGGGACTACAGGCGCCCACCACCACGCCTGGCTAATTTTTTCTATTTTTAGTAGAGACGGGGTTTCACCATGTTAGCTAGGATGGTCTCGATCTCCTGACCTTGTGATCCACCCACCTCTGCCTCCCAAAGTGCTGGGATTACAGGAGTGAGCCATCACGCCCAGCCAGAAAATGTCTATTTAATCTTTAGTCTTAGCATATAGTTTTGCTAGATATAAGATTCTTGGTCTCTTATTTTCTTTAATCACTTTTAATATGTCATTCCACTTTCTTCTGCCTTCTATTACTTATGATGAGCAATTAGTTTTTAATCTTATTGGAGTTTCCTTTATGTGATAAATCTATATATGAATATCAATTGGATCCTGTTGGTGAACTGTGTAGTTCATATTTTTCTATATCTATGCTAATTTTCTGACTAGTAATTCTGTCAGCTAGTGAGAAGTTTGGAATCCCCAACTATAATTGTAGATTTGTCTATTTCTTCTTTCAGTATTCTCTGCTTTTGCTCCATGTATTTTAAAATTCTGTTGGTTTATATACATTTAGGATCATTGTGTCTTCATAGTAGCTTGGCTTTTAAAAATATGTAATATCTTTCTTTGTCTTTAGTAATTTTCCTTACTCTGAAGTCTCTCCATCAGATATTAATATAGCAATTCCTGCATTATTTTGTTAATATTTGCATATTATGTCATTTTCATGCATTTAATTTCAATTTACCTATTTTATTAAATGTAAAGTAGGTTTCTTATAAACAGCTTATGATTAGGATATTTTGAAATCTACTTTGCTAATCTCTCACTTTTTATTAATGTATTTAGATAATTTTAAAAAATAAGATGCTTCATTTTTTACTAAGTTTTAGGTTTACAGAAAAAAAGATGAAAGAAAAAAACAGTTCCCGTATACCTCCCTGCAGTTTCTCCTATTTTTAGCATCTTACATGAGTGTGGCACATTTGTTAGAATCCATGACCCAGTATTGATACACCATTAGTTACTAAAGCCCATAGTTTATATTAAGCTTCACTCTTTGTGATTGACGTTCCATGGGTTTGGACAAATATATAATGGCATGTATCCAAAATTACTGTGTCATACATAACAGTGTTACTATTCTGAAAATCTCTTGTGTTCAATTTACCCCTAGTCCCCTTTCCCTCAAACTCCTGGCAATCACTGAGCTATTTACTGTGTCTGTAATTTTTCATTTTCCAGAATGCCATGTAGTTGGAATCATACAGAAATTAGTTCGTTAGACCTCGAACTTCGTTCTTCTCCTTCAATATTATGTTGGCTGTTCTGGATCTTTTGTCATTTCATATAAACTTTTGAACCAGTTTGTGGATATCCACTTAATAATTTGCTGGAATTTTGATTGGGGTTCCATTAAATCTACAGATCAAGTTTTGAAGAAATGACATTATGACAATATTGAGTCTTCTTATCCATGTACATAGAATATCTCTCCATTTATTTAGATCTTCTTTGATTTCTTTCATCAGTTTGTAGTTTTTTCTCACATAAACTTTGTACATATTTTATTCTATTTATACTCCATTTATTTAGATCTTTGATTTCTTTCACCAGAGTTTGTAGTTTTCTTATATAAACCTGGTACGTATTTTATTCAACTTATGCCTAAACATTTCTCTTTTCAATGCTAAAGTAAATGGTATTATGCTTTTAATTTCAAATTCCAGTTGCCCATTGCTGGTATATCAGAAATCAATTGACTTTTGTACATTAACATTATATTCTACAACCTTACTATAACCACATGTTAGTTCCACAAATGTTTTGGTTGATTTTGGGGGGATTTTTTACATAAACAGTCATGCCATCTGTGAGCAGAGTCTTATTTCTTTCTTCCAAATCTGTTTAACTTTTATGTGTGTTTCATGTTTTATTGCATTAGCTAGGACCCTCAGTATGATGTTGAGTAAGGTGAGAGCAGGCATTCTTTTTTTTTTTTTTTTTTTTTTTTTGAGACGGAGTCTCGCTCTGTCGCCCAGGCTGGAGTGCAGTGGCGGGATCTCGGCTCACTGCAAGCTCCGCCTCCCGGATTCACGCCATTCTCCTGCCTCAGCCTCCCAAGTAGCTGGGACTACAGGCGCCCGACACTACGCCCGGCTAATTTTTTGTATTTTTAGTAGAGACGGGGTTTCACCGTTTTAGCCGGGATGGTCTCGATCTCCTGACCTCGTGATCCGCCCGCCTCGGCCTCCCAAAGTGCTGGGATTACAGGCGGGAGCCACCGCGCCCGGCCGAGCAGGCATTCTTGCCTTGTTTTTCATCTTACCAGGAAAGCATCTAACTTCTTACCAGGGAATATGATGTTAGCTGTAGGTTTCCTATAGACATTGTCACTTTGAGGAAGTTTCCCTCTATTCCTAATTTGCCGAGAGTTATCGTTAATGGATGTTGGATTTTGTCAAATGTTTTTCTGCATCTGGTGATGTGATCTTGTTTTTTTTCTTTTTCTTGTTAATGTGATGAAATATATCAGTTTATTTTCAATTGTTGAACTAGCCTTTCATAATTAGGATAAGGTCCACTTCATCATCTTTTTACACATTATTGGATCCAATTTGCTAATACTTTGTTCAGGATTTTTGCTTAATGAAAGATAGTGCTCTTTGTTTTTTCTTTCTTGTAATGTCTTTGGTTTTGGTGTATGGTAATAATGACCTCATAGAATAACTAGGGAAGCATTCTGTATGCTTCTATTTTTTGGAAAAGATTCTGGAGAATTGTTATAATTTTTCTTTTAAGTGTTAGAATTTACCAGAGAACTCTCTGGGGCTTGGTACTTTCTATTTTATCAGCTTATTAATTATTGATTCAGTTCCTTTGATAGATATAGGACAACTCAGATTGTCTTTTTCTCCTGGTGTGAATTTTAGTAGATTGTATATTTCAAAAAAGTGCTGCATTTTATGTCGTTTATCAAACTTATGAAGTTGTTAATAATATTTCTTTATTTTTTTAAATGTTTTAATGTCCATAGTATCTATAGAGGTGGTTCTTCTTTAAATGTTGATATCAATAATTTGTATTCTTTTTCTCTCTTACTCTGGATAGAGATTTACCAATTTTATTTATCTTTTCAAAGAATCAGATTTTTATTTGTTGATTTTTTTCTATTGATTTTTCTGTCTTCAATTTTATTGATTTTTATATTTTTCTTCTCCTTATTTCGAGTCTAATTTGTTCTTCCTTTACTAGCTTCCTAAGGTGAAAAGTTAGATTATTAATTTTAGACCCTCCTTGGGATGCAACATGTACATTCAATGCTATAATTTTGGTCTAAGCATTGTTTTACTGCATTTCACACACTTCCGTGAGATGTAAGCGAAAATGAAAAGCTATAACCACCCTCTATAACTTACCGCAGTAGCTTTTCCATCCCCTTAATTTTTATCTCTATGGGTCTTCAAATTTAAAGTTGTATTTTCATTTTCATTTAGTTCAAAATATTTTACAATTCCTCTTGAGACTTCCTTGATCCATTTTTTATTTAGAAGTGTGATGTTACGCCTTCATGTATTTTAATGTTTTCCAGTCATCTTGCTGAATTTGATTTCTAGCTTAATTTCACTGTAGTCATAGAGCATAATTTGCATGACTTACATGCTTTTAAATAAGTTGCTTTTTAATGGCCTAGATAGTGATGTGTCTTTGTGAACATTCCATGGGAGCTTCAGAAGCATGTGTATTCTGCTGTTGGGTGAATTATTCTACACATGTCAATTGGATTAATGTCACTGCTGACTTGAATTATAATATGTCTTCCCTAATTTTTTGCCTGCTTAATCTGCTAATTACTAGTAGAGAGATGTTAAAGTCTCAAAGTACAGTAGTAAATTCATCTATTTTTCCTTGAAGTTCTATTAGTTTTTGCCTAACATATAGTGATGCTCTGTTTTTAGGTGTGTAAACACTAAGGATTGTTATGTCTTCTTGGAGAACTGACCGCATTTTTATTATGTAATTACTCTCTTTATTTCTGATAATTCTTCTTGTTCTGAAGTGGGATGTGTCATTAATAGAGCTACTCCTGCTTTCTTTGGATTACTGTTAGCATGCTATTGTTGCCAGTGGGCTGTTTCAGGTTCTTGACTTTGCTGCACAAAAAACTTTGAGAACGAGTCCAAAGTAACAGTAAGCAAAAGAGTTTATTGCAAAGCAAAAGTACACTCTGACAGCTGATCAGAGCAGGCTGCTCAAAGGTGAGACAGCCCTGTCTGATGCAGGGGGATCGCCCTTTATGGGAGATTTACATGATTATTCATGGAGGGGTGGGAAGGGGTGTTCTGATGAGTATGTTATGGGTAGTCCCCTGGCTGCACAGGTGCTGTGGTTGTACATGCTAGGACTTAACATTGCATGTATCATTAGCATCTTAAATCTCCACCCAGGGGTGTTTTTCTTTTACTATTATAGTGAATATAGGTCAGTCCAAGGACACTAATCATGGGTTTCTGTGCTTGTGTGAATTTGGGAATTCTCCCTTCTATTTTTCTACCTCCTTGCTGCAGGATGTTCTAATCCTGAGCCCATGATGTGGTTTGTGCACTGTCGGGTAGTTTATTCTCTCCATCTATTTAGCAAGTTTGTTCTCCTTTAAGGGAGGCTATGACCACCCTTTATAATTTACCTCAGTATCTTTTCCATCCCCTTAATTTTTATCTCTATGAGTCTTCAAATTTAAAATGAGCTTCTTGTAGACAGCTGGGTCTTGTTTTTTGATTTACTATGACAGTCTCTGTATTTTAATTGGTGTGTTTTAGACCATTGACAGTTAAGATGATTATTGATATAGCAATTAATATGTACCATCTGTGTTAATGATTTTTCTTTGCCGTCCTTGCTCTTAGTTATTTTTGTCGCGCATAGTTTTCTACTTTTTGTGTTTTAATTGAGCACTTTATATAATTTCATTTTCTCTCCTCCCTTAGCATATCAATTATACTTTTTTAAAGTTTTAAAACATTAGTCCTAGAGTTCGCAGTATATTTTTACAACTAATCCAAGTACACTTTCAAATGACACTATACCACTTCACAGGTAGAAGATATATTAATAACACAATATTCCTAATTCTTCCTTCCTTTCCCTTTTATCATTGCTATCTCTCACTTCATGTCTACAAAAGTATACAAAAGCATATATATATGCATACATAACCATATATTGTTGCTGTTATTATTTTGAACAAACTATTATGTCTTTGATCAATTAAGAACAAAAAAAGAATGTTTTACTTTACTTTTACTTATTAATTCATTGACTCTCTTCTTTTATTTATGTAGATTGGAGTGTCTGACCTACATCATTTTCTTTCTGAACTTCCGTTAACATTTCTTGCAAGGTAGGTCTACCAGTAACAATGCCTTCAGGTTTTGTTTGTCTGAGAAGAACTTTAGTTCTTATTACTTTTGAAGGATAATTGTACAGGGTGCAGAAATCTAGGCTGGTGGTTTTTCTCTCAACCTCACTCTTCTTGCTTGCATGGTTTCTAAGAAAATTTAAGAAGTAATTCTTATTTTTGCTCCTTTATATGTAAGGTATTTTTCCTCTCTGGCTTCTTTCAAGACTTTTTTTTTCTTATTTTTGATTTTCTGAAGTTGAATATGAAATGCCTAGGTGTAATTTTTCTTTTCATGTATCCTGTTTGGTGTACTCTGAGCTTTCTTGATCTCTGGTTTGGTGTCTGACACTAGTTTGGAAGGAATTTTCAGTCATTATTGTTTCAAATATTGCTTCCATTTTTTTCTCTCTTTCCTGTCCTTTTAAAATTCCCAATATATGTATTAACTCCTTTTGTAGTTTTGTTACAGTTCTTTGATATTCTATTCTGTTTTTACTGAGTAATTTTTTTCCTTGCTCTTTAGTTTTGGAAATTTCTATTTTCATATCATCAAACTCAAAGATTCTTTTTTGGCTATGTCCAGTCTATTAATGAGCCCATCAAAGCCCTTCTTTATGTCTATTACAATGTCTTTGATCTCCAGCACTTCTTTTTTGATTTTTTTCTTTGTATCCCCATCTCTCTGTTTACATAATTCATCTGTTCTTGCATGTTGTCTGTTTACTAGAGTCCTTAGCACATTAATCACAATTATTTAAAATATCTGCTTTGATAATTCCAACATTCCTGCCATACTTGACTCTGCTTATGATGCTTGTTCATACTTTTGAAACTGTTTTTTTCTTTGCATTTCAGTCTATCTTGGAATTTTTTTTGTTGAAAAGTGAACACAATGTACTAAGTAAAAGCAGCTATAGTAAATAGGCCTTTAGTAATGTAGTGATAGAGTGTAAGGGGAAGGGGAGCATTCTATAGTCCTATGATTAGGGCTCAGTCTTTTGGTGAGACTGTGCCCCTTGACTGTGAACTTCATCAGTGCTTCTCAGTTCCTCCCCGACTTTAGATGAGACATAATGGCTGAAGGGAGGATGAAGTTGTATATTTCCCTTTTTCCATGTGGAAATCTAAAAGGGATTGTAGTTGAGTGTTTCTCTTCCCCCACATGAAAGGCCAGAAGGAGATGGAGTTATTTATTCCCTTTTGTGCATGTGGAAGGCTACAGCCAGTTGAGTATTTTCCTTCTGTCACATATAGTAGGCTCTGATAAAACCCCAGCAGATTAGGCCCTAGTAAAATAGTTTCTCCTGGTGCAGGTCTTGTGAAAAAGAACTGAATACTCCAGCATGTTTCCAAATGGTTCCTTTCCCCTTCCTCCTGCCAGAAGCATGAGGACATTTTTTCCAACATTCACTGAGAACCTAGTAGAGTTTCTGGAGGCATAATTCACAATAGTATGGAGACCTTCAATGAGTGTACCCACTTGAAGTTTTTAACTTTCAGAGTTGTTCACATTGAGCTCCAGCAATTTGTTAATTACAGTTTCAGGTTTTTCTACTTCAGCACTGGTGATTTTTTTGTGTGTGTTTTTTTGTTTTTTGTTTTTTCTTTGGTGGAGTTTTGCTCTGTTGCACAAGCTGGAGTACAATGACATGATCTTGCCTCACTGCAATCTCCACCTCCCGGCTTTAAGCAATTCTCCTGCCTCAGCCTCTTGAATAGCTGGGATTACAGGTTCCTGCCAACATGCCCAGCTAATTTTGGTATTTTTAGTAGAGATGGGGTTTCACCGTGTTGGCCAGGCTGGTCTTGAACTCCTGACCTCAGGTGATCTGCCCACCTCGGCCTCCCAAAGTGCTGGGATTACAGGCGTGAGCCACTATGCCCAACCCAGCACTGGGTCTTATGGAGATTTCTGCTCATCATTTCTGCATGAGTTAAGTTTTGCTTCTATGTATCTGCCTGTCTGTCTCTCCAATTTGGGGGTCCTTGGTTTGCTCTCTGATCTCATTTCCATGACAGATCTGAGAAGAGGTGTTGAGTTTTTTGTTTGTTCAACTTTTTACTAGTTGTTAGGATAAAGTATGACTATCAAGCTCCTTACATACTGGTTTAGAACCAGAAGGTTTTCCTCTCATGTTTGAAGGACAGTTTTGCTAATTATAAAATTTCCAGTTGACAATTTTGTTCCTCTGCCTACACTCCTTTTGTTTTATCATACTTGGAGTTCATTGAGATTCTTGGATTTGCATATACATGTCTTAAAAATTTGGGAAATTTTTGATCCTTATGTTACCAGAAAGGAGTCCCGATACAGACCCCAAGAGAGGGTTCTTAGAGCTTACACGATAAAGAATTCAGGGCGAGTCCACAGTGCAAAGTAAAAGCAAGTGGTGAAAGAACAGCTACTCCATAGACAGAGTAGGACATTCCTGAAAGTGAGAGGAAGAACACATCCATCCTAGGTACGATGGTTGCATATATGGGGAGATGTGCTCTCCTACAAGAGTTTTTGATAAAGGATTAATTTTCTTAATTACCATATTTTGCAAGAATCAATATTATTATCTTTAATGCAAAATTAGGAATGCCCTTATTCTCCAGATATTGAGATATCTGGACACTCCCAAGTCTGGGTCTGTTTTAGTAAGCATCATTAATTTGTTCACTGATTCATAAACATCTAGAAGCTAGGAAAATGCCTAATTTTCTGAGAATGCAGTCCAGCAAGTCTCTGCCTCATTTTCCTAGCCCTCACTCAAAATGGAGTCGCTCTGGTTTGAACGCCTCTGACACTTATGTTGTCATATAAATCACTGCCTCCTTTCTCTCTTCTGTTTCTGGAACTTCTGTAATGAATAATTGGACTACTCAATGGTGACTCTTAAATACCTTAGACTCTATTCACTTCTTTTTTTTTTTTTTTCCTTTTTGGTCCTTAGACTCACTACTTTTAAATAATCTTTCTTTTTGTTTGCTGCTTCTTTCCACTGCCTGCTAAAGTCTTCTGTTAAAGCTGTCTCATAAATTTTTCAATTCACTTACCGTATTTTTCATCTCCAGAATTTCTTGTTGGTTCTTTTAAAATAATTTCTGTCTCTTTGTTGATATTCTCCTTTTGTTCATATATTATTTTCTTCACTTTTTAGTTATTTGTCTATGTTTTTCTTTAGCTCCCTGAGCATAAGATAGTTGTTTAAAAGTCTTTGTCTAGTATTTCAAATGTCAATGTTTCTTCAGGGACAGTTTCTGCAGCTGTATTTTCTTCTTTGATTGGGCCATGGCTTTCTTGTCTCTTTGAACACCTTGTAATTTGTTATTGTTATTGTTATTGTTATTGTGGAAAATGGGGCATTTAGAAAAAAAGGCATTTCCTCTCCCAATGTTTGCAGACTGAGTCTGTGTAGGAAAAGCTCTTCAATAATTAGAAGGGCATGTTCTTTGACTTAGATCAGCCTGGTCTGAAGGCTTTCATCTTCTGTGGTCTTTTATCAGACTTCATTTTCTCTGGGCCTGTGTGTGCTTTTATTTATTTTTTCCTTGTGTATACAGCCTTTTAGAAAATGTCTTAATTTCCCTAGGGGTCATAGCCCTGCTTCTTCTCAGAGTCAAGAATATTCTATTTTATTCCTCTATCTGTAATCTCATGCTCCAGGCATTTGCAGGTCTATCCTGCATCTCACAGCAGCATTCACGAGCTATGTCTGTTGTCTCTCATTGGTTTTCATAGCCTGAGATATGAGCTGTTCTGATCTTTGCTGTCTGACCTATGAGTTAGAAACAACAGAGACTAATCCAACATGGAGCTCCCAGACAGGTTAGAACATTTCAAATAAAGTCTGGTTTACCCTTCCAGTTCCAGGGAAGGAATTGGAAGCTCAGCTATCACTTTCCTAAGACCATTCTGTGCAGTTCCAGGGATGGGATGTGGCAAAGCCAAGTAAAAATGCCACACAATTTTCTACTGCTTTGGATGTGGCTCCGTTTTGTTTGGATGTTCATGTGTTTTCTGTAAACCTTGAGCTGTTTTCCATAGTTCCTAAATGTCAGTTTAACCAATTTGTAGTTTTTTCTTTAATGTTTCCATGGGGGACAAAGTTCTAAAGTTTTCTAGTCTGCCATTTTTCTGACATCACTGAGATTAATTTTATGCCCCAGCATATGTTTTTTTCTAGGTAAATATTCTGTGTACATTTAAAAAAAATGTGTATCTGACAGTTGGTATTTGAAATTTTCTATACATGTCAATTAGGTCAAGTGGTAATGTTGGTCAAATCTTTTACACTCTTACTGAATTTTTGTCTTCTTGTTGTAGAAGTTTTTGATATAGGGGTATAAAAATGTCTGACTAGGCCAGGCGTGGTGGCTCATGCCTGTAATCCCAGCACTTTGGGTGGCTGAGGTAGGTGGATCATCTGAGGTCGGGAGTTCAAGACCAGCCCGGCCAACATAGTGAAACCCCATCTCTACCAAAAATACAAAAAATTAGCTGGGCGTGGTGGTGGGTGCCTGTAATCTCAGCTACTCAGGAGGCTGAGGCAAGAGAATCGCTTGAACCTGGGAGGCGGAGGTTGCAGTGAGGCGAGATCGCACCATTGCACTCCAGCCTGGGGAACAAGAGTGAAACTCAGTCTCAAAACAAACAAACAAAAATCTAACTGTAATTGTGGAAAGAAAAATGTTTATTTTTCTTATAATCTTTATATTTTGCTTCATGTATATTGAATGTACATGATTTGTTATATAAACATTTAGGTTTTTTATTTCTCTTGACAAACTGACCCTTTCGTTATTTTGAAATGACTTTATCTCTAGTAATACCCATTCAACTGAAATTTACTTTGTGTGATACTACTATAGTCACTCCAGATTTCTTTGAGGTAGTGTTTATTATATATTTTTTCGTCTTTTTACTTGTGTTTTTCCATTTAAAGTATGTTTTTTTGGAGGCAGAATACTGTTAGCTTTTGCTTTCTTTGAATCTAATCTGTCAATGTTAGAGTTTTTGGGCAATTGATACTAATGTGATTATTAATATGGTTAGATTTAAGTTTATTTTCTTAAAATGGTTTTTCATTTGTTCCCTCTGTGCTTTGTTACTTTTTCTCTTTTTTAGCCCTTTTTAAAGGATAATTGAGAATTTCTTTAAGAATTTCATCTTATCTCTTTGATTGGCTTATCAGCCTTTACTCTTTGTTGGCATATTTTAGTGGTTGGTTTAGGGTATGTAGCATATATTTTTAACTTTTCACAGTGTATATTCAAGTTATAGTATATTACTTCACATATAAAATTTTTGAATAGCATACTTCCATTTTTCTCCTCATAGGCATTGTGCCATCACTGCCATAAATTTGACTTCTACATGTGTTATAAACCTCATGCTATATTGTTATTACTGTTACTTAAACAATTATATTTTAAAAATACTTAAATAATAAGAAAAACATTCCAGAGTTTTATTCATGTAGTTACCATGTCCAGTGTCCCACAGTCCTTTGTATGCATTTATATTTCCATCTAGTATCAGTTTTTCAATTTTCTTCTGCCTAAAAACTTTCTTTAACATTTATTGTAAAGTGGCTATGTTGGAGATGAATTATTTCAGGTTTTCTAAGTCTGAAAAATGTCTTTATTTTCATTTTTTAATGTTTTTTTCACTGCATCTAGAATTTTAAGTAGAAATATTCTTACTTTAAGTACTTAAATAAAATTTCTAGTTATATCATACAATGATTAGATTTTTTAAAAATATTTTTTCACATGTACTTTGAAGTTTTTAATTTCTGTTCGTACAATGCTGCCATTATAATGGCACTTAAATATCACTACAACCCAAGCATTTTTCTGAGTGTCCAGTACGTATCCATTCACTTAATGTTCACAGGAAGATTTGGAGGCATGCCCTGTTATTATCCCCACTTAAGAGGCCAAGAGAGTACTTGCCCAGAGTTGCTCAGTTAGTAAACCATGTTCCATAGGTGAATAAAACTTTGCCTTTGCAAACTTTAAATGTTGAAAGATAGGTTTAAAGGGTGATTATTGTTATTATTTTTTAACTTTTATTTTAGGTTCGGGGTACATGTGCTGATTTGTTAGGTAAATTACACATCATGGGGGTTTGGTGTACACATTATTTTGCCACCCAGGTAATAAGCACAGTACTAGATAGGTAGTTTCTCAGTTGTCACCGTCTTCCCTCCCTTTACCCTCAAGTAGGCCCCAGTGCCTGTTGTTCCCTTCTTTGTGTCCATATGTACTCAGTGTTTTGCTCCCACTCATAAGTGAGAACATGCGGCATTTGGTTTCCTGTTCCTGTGTTTGTTTGCTTCGTATAATGGCCTCCAGCTCCATCCATGTTGCTGCAAAGGACATGATCCCGTTCTTTTTTATGGTTGTGTAGTATATTCTGTGGTGTACATGCACCACATTTTCTTTCTTTCTTTTTTTTTTTTTCGAGCGGGAGTCTTGCTCTGTCACCCGGGCTGGAGTGCAGTGGTGCGATCTCGGCTCACTGCAAACTCCGCCTCTGGGGTTCACGCCCTTCTCCTGCCTCAGCCTTCCGAGTAGCTGGGACTACAGGCGCCCACCACCACGCCCGGCTAATGTTTTGTATTTTAAATTGAGACGGGGTTTCACCGTGTTAGCCAGGATGGTCCCCATCTCCTGACCTCGTGATCCACCGGCCTCCACCTCCCAGAGTGCTGGGATTACAGGCGTGAGCCACCGCGCCGGGCCTATGCACCACATTTTCTTTATTCAGTCTACCATTGATGGGCATTTAGGTTGATCCCATGTCTTTGCTATTGTGAATAGTGCTGCAATGAACATACACATGCCTAGGTCTACCATTCTCATTACTGGGTAGAATAGTAATTCTGTTTTGAGTTCTTTGAGAAATCACCAAACTGCTTTTGACACTGACTGAACTAATTTACATGTCCACCAGTAGTGTCTAAGCATTCAAAATGGTGACTTTTTGTTTGTTTGTTTTTGAGAAAGTCTCACTCTGCTGCCCAGGCTGGAGTGCAGTGGTGCGATCTCGGCTCACTGCAACCCCTGCTTCCTGGGTTCAAGTGATTCTCATGCCCTAGCCTCCCAAGGAGCTGGGATTACAGGCATGCACCACCACGCCTGGCTAATTTTTGTATTTTTTGTGGAGAAGGGGTTTCACCATGTTGGCCAGTCTGGTCTCGAACTCCTAACCTCAAGTGATCCGCCTGCCTTGGCTTCCCAAAATGCCAGCATTACAGGCATGAGCCACCGCACGCAGCCTCAAAAGTGTGATTTTTTAAAGAGCAAATAAAATACATCAAAATTAACTTATATCTGAAAAAAAGAAACCTAATAGACCAGTACTTTGATATGTGATTCAACTAGAGCTTTCATAAAAAAACTTTAGGCTCCCTAAAATGGCTCTTTATTGGATTAGTACAATTGGCTGAATTTTTGTTTAAGGGTAAAATTTGCCCAAGAATGTAGGGCTTTAAAATTTATTTGCCGGCGGGGTGTGGAGGCTCACGCCTGTAATCCCAACACTTTGGGAGGCCGAGGTGGGCGGATCACGAGGTCAGGAGATCGAGAGCATCCTGGCTACGGTGAAACCCCGTCTCTACTAAAAATAAAAAAAAATTGGCCGGGCGCGGTGGTGGGCGCTTGTAGTCCCAGCTACTCTGGACGCTGAGGCAGGAGAATGGCGTGAACCCGGGAGGCGGAGCTTGCAGTGAGCTGAGATCGCACCACTGCACTCCAGCCTGGATGACAGAGCGAGACTCCGTCTCAAAAAAAATACACACACACACACACACACACACACACACACACACACACACACTCTCAGCCGGGCGTGGTGGCGGGCGCCTGTAGTCACACACACACACACACACACACACACACACACACACTCTCTTAGCCGGGCGTGGTGGCGGGCGCCCGTAGTCCCAGCTACTCGGCAGGCTGAGGCAGGAGAATGGCCTGAACCCGGGAGGCAGAGCTTGCAATGATCCCAGATGGCGCCACTGCACTCCAGCCTGGGTGACAAAGCAAGCCTCCTTCTCAAAAAAAAAAAATAAAGAACAAATCATATGAAACAAAAAAATAGCAGTTCTAACATGAATGTGAATCTGTATTTAATGGCAACTACACTTAGGTGTTTATGAGAGAATATTAAAATTTCATAAATTTACATTGAACGCTTAAGAAAAGAAACATATTGGCACAAAACTCTTTGAACCATGAAAAGTCCACTTTATTCAATATTTATGTGGAAATTATTCTGGCATAACTTCATTCTACACTGCTACAACAGGAAACTATAGGAACATAAGGACAAAATGCCAACATTTAACTGCAGCCTTTCCTGGGAAACATAATATGTTTAAAAAGCCTTTAGAGACAAAGAAGAGTCTATTTAATTTATGGCATGAAAAGAAATGTGACAACAAAGCATTTTGTAGTCATGGTTATCAGTCTTTGAAAAAGTTCTTAATAGGATTTGGGTTTATTTTAATTAATGAAAATAAAATATGAATAATTTATTGAACTCAGTATATTATAGCAGTGGGAACTTCTCATAAATTATTCTCAGATAATTTTCACAAGCTAATCAAAAAAGACATAATTCTGTTTATTATGAAAAATGGGATCCAAGGTTTCGAGAGAACTTTCGTGTCTTGCTATTGTTTCTAAAGTCTCCCTCCAGACCATCTCATTTCTGAGTCACAGACTTTCCTAAATAACAAGTGCAGCCAAATATGTTATCACTTCAGGGTCATTTTTGTTTGTTTGTTTTCTCCCTTTCTCTCTCTCTTTTTTTGTATCCTTATACCCGGCAGCAGTTTCTTTGAAAATTTGGACCAGAAGGTGCATAACAAGTTGTTCTGCAGAAGTTCTTATCTGATATTCTTAGGGAGCTATCCTGCATGTAATCTTCATTTTTTTTTCTCTACCATCATGTAGGCATACTCAGTGTAGACTACCACAATCCTGGATACCTCTCTGCTTAGATTTACAATCTCTGCTAAGATTTGCCACTGCAGAAAGTGTAGTAGTTTCACTACATATGAAAAAAAAGACTGCCTTCTAACTGCGTACTTATTTCTAGCTTCTAGATTGCACATTTACAGTGTTTGCAAAAGCAATAACTATTCTTACCGGTAGGAGATGAATTACACACTCCTTCTTCTTCTATAATAAGAGTTATCTACCTTCTGGTCAAAGTGCTTCCTTAAGGCACTTCGAAGCTCATCTGCTGGCAGGCATGAAGCGTGCTGTTCCCCTGAGCCTTCACGAACTGGATCTACTCAAGACAAAACAGTCTCTGCTTCATTATATTCAGAAATTCAGGCTTGCCATGAGGCTGTTTAGTGTTCTGAAACACAAATGCTGGCAAATCAAAAATTCTCCCAAACACGTATCTACCAATTTTTGCTCCTTAAATAGGAACAGTATTTTCTCATATCCTTAGATTAGCGGAGTTAAAAAGATGCCCCAAACATTGAGTCCCATTATTTTAAGCTTGAAGTTTTATAATTATAGCTTTATCCTTGCCCCATGAGAGACGCATTCTCTATCAAGCCATTCAAGCAAGGATCAGTTTTCAGTTTAGATAAAACTACAAAATGAATAAATTCACTTCTGACATTTAATTAATGCCTTTCTTTACTCTCTCCTACCCCTACACTCCACCCCTTATAGTACTTGCCTCCTCTCATTCTCCCCATCTCCAGCCCAAATCCAGATGACTTCTGCTATATTAAAGTTTGCTTTCAGGAAAAGATCTGAAATCCGTAAGCGGTTTCATACTAAATATTAGCACACTTCAGTGGTAGAACATTGATTTGCTGAAGTCTGGGGTTGATTTCCTAGCCCCTAAAATCACATTCTAACTGTGACTACCTGTTCTTTCTATAAGTTTAACATAGATTTAGGGTGAGACTTATCTTTTTATATAAACGAAAATATGTGGGAGAATGCTTTCTTTGTTTCTTTCTTTTTTTTTTTTTTTTTTTTTTTTTTGAGACAGAGTCTTGCTCTTTCACCCAGGCTGGAGTGCAGTGGCGTGATCTCGGCTCACTACAAGCTCCGCCTCCGGGGTTCAAGCGATTCTCCTGCCTCAGCCTCCCAAGTAGCTGGGACTACAGGCACTCACTACTATATCCGGCTAATTTTTTGTATTTTTAGTGGAGATGAGGTTTCACCATGTTAGCCAGGATGGTCTCGATTTCCTGACCTCGTGATCCGCCCACCTCGGCCTCCCAAAGTTCTGGGATTACAGGCATGAGCCACCGCACCCAGCCAAGAATGTTTCTTTCATACGTGAGCACATAGGGTATTTCATGTATTAGCATTAATGTTCCTTATCAAATATGCAATCAGGGGCTCTCTATAGAATCAATTTCAATAAAACAGTTAAGCAATTTTTTAATGGAGTAGGCATTGATTATAATTTTCTCCTCTTCTGACTTTTCAATTCTTCCCAATTAGCCAGTGATAAGAAACTGGAAAGAAAATTTCAACTTGTTTACCATTCACTTGTTTTTTTTAACCTACTGTAGTTTGGAAGGATTAAATTTTAGGCTAGCTGATTCATTTCACAAAAAAATTTATAAAATTTATAATTCATTTCGCACAAAAAAAGTTTTAATAAAAAATATTTCCCTTTGTATTTGAGCTCAACTTAATTCCCAATTGGCCCTGAAATGTGAGAATTGTTTTCCTAAAATATTGATGGATGTCAGAAGGCCACAAGAAGTGAGACCTCATCTTTTTTGCTCTATGAGAACATCAATCTTTCTATTTCTGTGAAAAATAAGGAAAGGTAGGTGGACTCTGGTGATTTCCTGATGTTGAAGTTAATAAAAAGCTCCATTCAAAACTACGATATTCGGCACAATTAATCTTCCCTGTTAATATAAACAGAAGAAAGAGTAAACTATTTGACCTCAAAGCTCTGGTTTAATTTCTAGCAAGTACGATTACTTCGGTTCACAATTTAAAAAATAAAAGCTTTAGATTTCTATTCCAAGCCATTACTTGATAAATCATTCATAAAAGAACATGAATGCACAAAACAAAAATAAACTTTTTTTAAAAATTTGGTAAGTGTCAGTGTTCTAGGATGTGCTGGCCATTCTTTGTGGAGGTCCTCAGAACCACCCTCTACTCTTCCAGCCCCAGTGTCACCCTTCCTGCCCGAGTGTCACCCTTCCTGCTCGAGTGTCACCTTGCTCCCCTCCCAGCTGACTTCCAGTTGGTTTTGGCTAATGAGAGACACCCACAGAAACAGTAAGGTTTCAGAAGTCAGAGCTCAAAAAGTTTCTTCCCTACTCACTCCTGTTTCCAGGTTCTGACAAGAAAATTCTTTTACTTCTATGACTGTGGCTCCTGCCAGACCTTTGTGTTCCCCGGCTGCTGCCTTCTGGGGATCTGGCAGCAACCGTTCCTCCCTCTGCGCCTCTGCTGTAGGTAGTAAAGGCTTTCTGCTAGTGCTTGTCTTTGGTTGCCACAATGTCACCTGGTGGGTCCCTTCACTTTTCTTTTCAGCCTGTCCCTTTAAACTATCTGAGCAAATCATGCTTTCTTTCTGGGCCTTGACTAATGCAGTAGTGCATTTTAAAAATCTGACTAATATCACATTGCATTGCTTAGAAAAATATCATAAGAAAAATAATTCTTTGAGAAGTAGCATATTTGTGAAAGTAGATCTATTTAGGAATTAAAATGCTATTAGATTGGCAGGCAAATGTTATATTTTTGTATTCTCACTCTATTTTCTAGAACTGAAAACTAAGTTCTAGCTTAGACTGCAATGCACACGGTATACTACAAAGAGAGACGATAAAATTGCAGGATGAGAGTATAAAGTACAAGGTAAAACCTTATTGAAACAAAATAAGCACAACTCTATGTACAGGTTGTATGTGTTTATATATAAGAGCCAAGGCCGGGTGTGATGGCTCACGCCTGTAATCTCAAGACTTTGGGAGGCCAAGGCGGGTGGATCACTTGAGCTCAGGAAGTTCGAGACCAGCCTGGGCAACATGGAAAAACCTTGTCCCTACCAAAAATACAAAAACTTAGCCGGGTGTGGTGGCACTCACTTGTTCTCCCAGCTTCTCAGGAGGCTGAGGCACAAGAATTGCTTGAACCTGGGAGGCAGAGGTTGCAGTGAGCGAAGATCACACCACTACTGCACTCCAGTCTAGGCGACAGAGCGAGACTCTGTCTCAAAAAAAAAAAGAAGAAGAAGAGCCAAAACAAGGATACATAAGGATACATACCAGCCTGTCAGCCTGTTTTGTATCATTGGTTACCTCAGTGGGGTTGGGGTGATGGTAGTGGCAATTATTAACATTTTCTTTATACAATTCTTTTAAAAATGTTCCTTTTGTAATTCAAAATATTCAAGAACAAATTTCAAAAGAGTCTGTCTTAACAAACATTTACATTCTTATAATCCAGAAGCTAGTCATCAAACACACCTCAGTATCATCATTTGTTCCAATATAAATATACTCACTTCCTAAATATGTGCTATTGCAAAGTAGATCTTATTCCTTTCTTATTCTGGTTGAATCATACAACCATTATCCAGATTGAAATAAAAAATATAATTGTATTTATTATCCATGTTAAGGTTAAATAGAAGGTAAGAAGTTTCAAAGTTTAAATTGCATTATCATGGAAAGTAGGGAAGAAAGGAAATAAAGCAGCAACACATAAAACATTTATATTTGTGATATTCGATATTTTTTCTGGGACATCCAGTGTTCTAGTTACATCGGCCATCTCGAATTCATGTCTTCATTTGTTCAGTAAGTGTGTAGTGTGTGATGATTGTGACGGATGCTTCTCTACTAGGCAAAGTAATTTTTAGAGCCTCACTACTCTTAGTCTGCAAAGTTCATTGCCAGCATTATCACCACAGCAAGTGTCTATGCTGATTTAAATAATAACCATATAGCAGCAAGTATAGCCACATAAAATGCATTTCAAGACACACATTTATGTTTAAGGACTTCAAGTCCCCTAACCAAACAACTTAAGTAGAATAAACCTAAATAAGTTTTAAGTCAAAAGCAGGGGAATCAAAACAATTACAAGCCTCCTGTCTTAGAAGAAAATGCTGATGCTTATTGGCTTAACCATATAAAATAGTGTATATACATTTACTAGACATGAACAATTTGGAACAAATTTTGAGTGTACCTATAAGTGTGTAAAATGTATATTTTATGTATTGGGAATAATATTCATAAATATATTCCTCCAATGTTGTAAAAAATGCATGCACCCTCACTACGCTAGTGATTTTACAGTTTAATGAAGCCATTTTGTTTTAATTGCAAATGTCTACCACCGTAGAAGTTTCTTGGCCTTTCTCCATTAAGCCTAACACTTTGAACACCCAAGTTCACTTTTTTTTTTTTTTGTCTTGAGACGGAGTCTGGCTCTGTCGCCAAGCTGGAGTGCAGGGTGCAATGTTGGCTTGCTGCAACCTCTGCCTCCCGGGTTCAAGCAATTCTCCTGCCTCAGCCTCCCGAGTAGCTGGGACTACAGGCAGGCACCACCACGCCCGGTTAATTTTTTGTATTTTAATAGAGACAGGGTTTCACCGTGTTGGCCAGGATGGGCTCCATCTCCTGACCTCTTGGCCTCCTCCGCCTCCCAAAGTGCTGAGATTACAGGCATGAGCCACTGCACCCGGCCAAGTTCACATTTTTAAAGACTCCATCTGATGCCTGACAAATTGGTATAATAATAGATTGACATTTGTTGTTTTACTCTAGGTCCAATTTAGAAAATGATTTCCATTTTCTCTCTTTCTGTCTCACTGAAGGCAACTGATCTGTCAATCAAAACTTTAGATTTATAATTTTTTCTGTAATAAAAGACGTGCTATTTACAGAGTTCTTGTGCAAAAGTAGTTTAAGTGAACCCAATTAATAATTCAAGAATGACTTTGTAAGATTCTTCATCTATTACATTTGAATTCATTTTACATTTTACATCTATTACATTTGAATTCATTTTAATGAAAAAGCCTTTCAAAGTTGTCTTTCCAAAGGGAAGATTAATACACTATTTCTTAGAGATACCATCTAAAAAAGTATCTTTCTTTCTTTTTTCTTTTTTGGAAACTCGCGGTGGTGGTAATGTGAGTGAGTTTGTCAATCTTTGCCCCTACTGTGAATTTGAGAAGCAGAGGAAGAGAAAAAGAGAAAGACCCCCCCCGCCCCCTGCCTCCGCCCCTCCCTCTAGCACACAGTAGGCACGCAAGGAGTGCAGTGTTAGCTGCTGCTGGACTGAGCTCCTCATCCTACACTTGCAGGGGTTGCTCTTTTGGACAGAAAGCTGGAATAAAACGTAAATTTTAGACTTCCACCAAGGCCAGGACTAGGGTGAAGGGACTAACGCACTAGTCTCAGGAGCAACTGTTAAGTAACGCTAATCCTGAATGAATGAAATAGTTTTAAAATTGAATGTAATCGCAAAGAAAAAAAAAACCCATGATAGACAAAATATTAAAACTTTAAATAAAGGCTTGCACTCGCACAACCCAGGCTCACCGGCCTCTCCCTGCTCCTGGCCCGGTTTCCCAGCTTGGTTCTCTACAAGTCAGAATTCCTAGCAAAATCAAAGTGTGCGCGCGTCTGCCCGAGTACACGCCGCAGAGTTATTTCTGCCCCATCTTCCCTATTTGAACTCAAACAGGACAGCATTTTCCTGGGTGCAGCCCCTGCGTTGGGTGAACAGCGCAGTGATAAAGCCTGGCGTTCTCCACCTGCAGGCGGAGGCTGACGGCGCGGTCTTTGGCGCGAGTCCGTGCACCGCGGCCGCCCCGCCCCGGTGGGAGAGAGGGACGGAGGAAGCTGCAGGTATAACGGGAGGAGAGCGCCAGGCGGAGCTGGGGCGTCCCTCCCGCTCGCTTCTTGACTCGCGTTGCTGCCGGCCGCCTCCCGCGCCTAGTGTCCGGGACGCGCCTGAACCTGCCGCCTCCGTGCCTGGGGTGGCGCCGCGCGGCCCCGAGCGCTCCAGAAAGCTGCGGCGCGAGTCCGCGGGGCCGACCTCGGAGACGCAGCTGGGGCCGGGCGCGGCTTGGCGGGAGGGTCTGCAGCGCCGAGGGAGGCTGCTAGTGCGTGAGGAAGAGAGCTAGAGACTGGACACGGGAGACAGAGCAGCGTCAGAGCCGCGCAGGGGACGGGAGTGAGAGCAGGAGCGACGCAGAGCGGCCGTCGCCGTGCCCGGGTCTCAGGGCGCCTGGCTGAAGTGAGCATGGCTTCAGTGGCCTGGGCCGTCCTCAAGGTGCTGCTGCTTCTCCCCACTCAGACTTGGAGCCCCGTGGGAGCAGGAAATCCACGTAAGTACAGCAAATGGTTTAAAACTTGCGCTAGGCTGTCTGGAAAACTTTGTTTTTTTTTTTATTATCGGTAATATTTGGAAGTGGAATTGCAGAACATGCTCCTGAACATGAAGAACCTTAAAAAAAATTTGGAATTGCAACCCGAAAAAGACGATTTTGTTTACAATAGACTTTCCTCTTGTGGGGGAGTCTAAGATATACCATGCATGTTTTGACTTTTTAATCGATGTACTTGAATATTCATTGAGAAAGTGGACGTTTCTGTAAAACCTGAAAAGCATCTTAATAAGAGATTAGCCTGCAAATGCTGTCATTTATTCCTTTTTAGGATTGTAATATTTTGTAGGAATTAAGTCTAACAGGGAAAAAACTGGCAGACATTACATCATACTGCATCAACTTAGATGTTAGCAGCTTACAGTTTTGCCGACCTTGGCAGCTTCAGAGTTAAAATGCTAATTAACTTCCATGCAGTATAGGGACAGAGCGCCTGTAGGTGAAACTAAATTAATAACCTGTCCTAACTACTAAGGGAATAACACTTGAACACCCCTGTCAGGGGCTTCGTTTCTCATAGTAGAAAGTTCTTGCTTAAAGACAAAACTCAGCCAGTCATTTAGGTGATCTTGAAAATGATTCCTCTCTGGATGCTAATATTTTACATTATTTAATTTGCCATCAGGTTCCCTGTTTTTTATTTTCCTTAATTTGGTAAACACCTAGGAAGCCTTTATTTCTAGAATGGGCTATGATTCTAATGTAATGATGATATTCCAGACAGATGAGCAAAACATAATGTACCCATATTTTATCACACATAAAAATGTTTGCACAACATTGCACATTTTTTTTTGGCTTGGAGTAAATCTCTATCAGAGAGTTGTCTTTCTTTCTTGATTAATCAAACCATGAGATTAGAATTTTTAAAATGTCTTCCTCTTCCTTCTCAAATCACTTTTATTTTTCTTTCAGTGGCATCTCCCCGCTGTCAGCCTCAGCCCTCTCCTACCAAAATCTCTTTCGAAATAAGTTCCAATAAACGCCAGTGGCCATGTTTGGAAATTTAGATTATTGCAGGATAACCAAGGGTAGCTTTCAGCAGTTCTCCTAAGCTGTCATGAAAAGTTTGCCGTAGCTCAGTGCTGTTCTGCCCGCGGGCTCAAGGGTGGGTTGGTTCTTCACACACAGGGCACGCACATGGGTTCATGAACTCACTGTGCATCATGATTCAGTTGCGCCTCAGTTAATCCTACACTTGGTGTGCCCTTCCAAAAAACAAGCTCCGGATTCCTTTGGTCAGATGCTGTACCGTGTTTCAGATTCAACTTTAATCTGCTTTTGTGAGAAGGCTTTGTGAATAAAACGTTGTTACTTAAATCAAAATCCTTGGGTCTTGTAATGGAAATTGCCGTTTGGCTTAAATAAACATATAAATGAGTTACTTATAGAAAGGCATGCTAGAGTAATTGACCAATCAACTGGCAAAATACAACAACAAAAAAAGTCACTAGAGGTCACTCTTACTATTGAATAAACAGGGCTTCAAAAAGACCTTCCTGGAGAAAAGCAAAGCAATGAAATCTGAGTGAGACCCTGCCACCACCTTTCCTGTTTTTGTTGCATAGTTGTGATTACTTTTTATTCTCAGGATTAGTTGTATTGGTAGTTATTTTGCTTGGAATCCAGTGGAAGGATTACAAAGCCCATAGAAATTAAGCTCTTCTCGTTTATAGTGAACATTCTTTTTGGAGGAGGGGAGGGCAGGGACAGATATTCCAAATGGACTCAGCACCAGACGGGACTCTCGCGAGTTGCTGAGTGACACGTAAAATTTCAATACTACTACTGTGGGTGTTTTCAGTCTTCTTTCGTTGATGAAACTTAGTATCCTCATATCTAATAAATTTTACTAATTTTAAATTACCTTTTAGATCAAGTAATTCTTCCAGATAAAACTATGTAACTGTAATAATTATACCACCTTCAATACCAAGAAGAAAGTCAATAAGGACATCTAAAAGTTTCCTTCTCATGAAGACACCATGAGTTGCTCACGTTATTCACAGCTGGTTTTCCAGAAGCACATTGGCCACCCACGAAGGCAGCCTGTTGATGATGGCATGAAATGGCTCTTCATGGGAAGAGCTCTATAGGCCGGGCACAGTGGCTCGCGTCTGTAATCCCAGCACTTTGGGAGGCCGAGGTGGGTGGATCACCTGAGGTCAGGAGTTCGAGACCAGCTTGGCCACCATGGTGAAACCCTGTCTCTACTAAAAATACAAAAATTAGCCGGGCGTGGTGGCAGGCATCTGTAATCCCAGCTTCTCGGGAGGCTGAGGCAGGAGAATCGCTTGAACCTGGGAGATGGAGGTTGCAGTGAGCCGAGATCCCACCATAGCACTCCAGCCTGGGCAACAAGAGGAAAACACAAAACTCTGTCTCAAAAAAAAAAAGCTCTCTAAACATTTGGCATTTTGGGGATTATGTGCAGTTTATCTGAATGTTATTTGACCCGACAAATACATGGGAAAGCTTTGTTAGGAAGATTCTGCATGAAGGGAAATATTTTCCTAACTTCAGTGCCCATAGACTTGCAGTGAGTGAAAGGTCACTTACTGCTCTCATTGAGTCCCTGAAAACAGCAGGAAGCATCAAGAGAAAGATTGAACGCTGGGCACTGATCCCAGGGATACACAAACAAATGGCTGGGCAGATTTTGCAGAAATTCCTGTAACTGGTAAAATGCTGAGTAATAGCCTTTGATGTAACTTTTCAGTGGGTTAATTTATTCATTACTTAGCCTAAAACACTTTTAATTTTAATTGCCTCAATTTTTTCCCCTAAATGGTTATGTTTTGCAAGTTCGCCAGCCAGCCTGGGGAAAGAAGGGTAAGCCTACTATAGAGTGTGTGTGGGTTAGTTAGGGAACTCACTTAGATGTGAAATGTGTCAGGAAAGAGATCTCACAGAGTGTAGGAATAATTATTTTTACAGATGTTTCATTTTGGACCTTTTAGTAATACCATTTAAAGAGAGATTCTGCAGATGAGTAACAGACTCTTAATTTTAGTGTCAAATGGTACTCTATAAAAAATGGAGTTCAGGCCAGGCGCGGTGGCTCACACCTGTAATCCCAGCACTTTGGGAGGCTGAGGTGGGTGGATCAGTTGAGGTCGGGAGTTCGAAACCAGGCTGGACAACACGGTGAAACCCCGTCTCTACTAAAAATATGAAAAAATTTCAGGGCATGGTGGCAGGTGCCTGTGAGGAGGCAGTGAGCTGAGATCGTGCCACTGCACTCCAGCCTGGGTGACAGAGTGAGACTCTGTCTCAAAAAAAAAACCAAAAAATGTAGTTCAGTTGCCTTTATTCATTTTCACCAAACTCTATACAAACAGTACGGAGCATAAGTAGCCCATGGAAGTGATAATCAATTCCAAGACATTGGTTTGATCATGAAAAAAGAAAAATCAAATTACTTGGCGTTCTTCTTCCTCTTCCTCTCCCCTTCTCTTTTTGAACAATTCAGTCCAAGGTCATTCAGTTCAGCTTAGGCATCCATGCTGGGTAAGTGGGGAGGCCCAGGACCGTGGCAGAGCATTCAGAAACCAGCAGGGTAAGGAAAGCATCCACAGTGTAGCAAGGGTGGGGACCTGGAGAGACAGGAGACAGCACTGGTGGTGACCTATAGCAAGTTGTCAGAGGTTGAGTGGAGTGAGGAAGGAGGCATTCCAGATTGACGGAGGCTAAGAAAACAAGGCAACTAAATACTACTCTGCATTAAATGCTTATGTTATAAAGGACATGATTGGGAATTGGTGCAACTTGAACAAGATTGGGGATTAAATATTGGAACTTTATCCATGATGACTGGGATGATCATATTATGGTTATATAGGAGAACATCTTTGTTGTAGGAAATGTACATTGAAGTATTCAGGGGTGATACAGCATATTAGCGTAGTTCTTCCATGTTTTCTGTAAATTGGTTTCAAAATCAAATGGTTACTTTAAAAAACCATTCAAAATTGTGTTTAAAGGAAACATGGACCAATAGAAAAACTCAGAATAAGTAAATGTAGTTAAATTGATGCATTTTACCTAAGAGATGTAGATTAAAAATAAAGAGGCTGAAAAAAAACAGTTATGAGAAATAACAGTTCATTTATGTATGTCTCTAAATCAAATTAGCCTGGATTTCTGAATGACAAAGATGTGATTGGCACTGGGATTGTTCCCCATTCTTTTCGGGAAGTTTATTGCCTAGGACATCTGTATCAGTCTTCAAAGTACTTTTTAAAGCTTGAATATCTGAATGAACCCGTCAGACTGACTGTTATCTGGTCTTCTGTAATGGGCTTCCGCACCTTTGACGAGACTCTTAGCTGAAAGGTTGCTTGTCCCTAGGCCCGGTTGCTCCACGTTGTAAGAGCATTTGCAAACGCTTGGTTGTACATGATTGTGCACATGTCAAGTCTGCTCTGTCACTGTAGAAAAAATATTCCTTTTCACTTGACATATAAAGCATGGAATTGTTTGTTTTAAATGTCTTTTGTCAAGGATTTCATATATCTGCTTGATGTGTTGTACTGTATAAAAGACAAGTGTGAAATTCATTGCTTACTATGATAGCCTTAACAGGACTACAGTAAATCTAGTTTTCTAAAAAATGGAGTATATGCTTAGCTTGGTTAAAATTTTATAATGAAATGACTACTCTGGTAATAAAAATTAAAAAATATCA
This sequence comes from Homo sapiens, assembly GCF_000001405.40. Lineage (NCBI taxonomy): Eukaryota > Metazoa > Chordata > Mammalia > Primates > Hominidae > Homo > Homo sapiens. Next base: position 61,335,800 of record NC_000009.12, read on the forward strand.
TAAAGTGGGGGCTAAAAAATGATACTGCATGTGTTCCAGTTAATGAACATTTTTGTTGTAATAATACGAAGAGTGATTGAAATCTAAAAACATTTGAGATTTTAAAATAGTTTTAACCTTATAACTACAGGATTGTAATTTAAGTAGCATACCTACTTAATAAGGCAGCAATTAAAATTATTGCTAAGAATTAAATTACCAAGAAGACATGGTCTAGTATGTATTGCCTGGGCTGTGGTTTGAATTACTTTTGATTAAGTATAATCACATTTTTTGAGAGTATAAAAACAGAGGATATTACTTGCTTCTAATTCACAGATGTGTTTATGAACCATTGGCAATTAAAGCATTTGCAATTGAGGCCCTAAGAAAATTTTAGGTTAAAATAACATGTTGAGTTATGCCTTATAACTCAGTATATGCTTATACTTTATATGCTTTACGGAGTTTTGAATATATAATATATATATATAATAGTATATTTTTCCAGGAAATATATAACTTGTAGTTCCTTGACTTATTTTGTAACTAAATCCCATGGAAAAAAGTTTATTGAATGTCATTGTTTCTCAGGCAAATGTAGAGTTAGGAAAATGATATATATACATATTGGGAATCTTTTAGAAGGCTTGGACTTGGTAGCTCAAATCTTCTACAACCTTGAGCTTCAACTTTCTGGCCGGTTCAAGAGATCTCTTCACTGTCCTTTTCATGTAAAGTCAATGTTTATGGAACACTAGACCAAAATGGAAGGATTCCTTTGGAAACTGAACAAACAGTTGAATTAGTCTTTGACTTGATGGAGTGATTTGATCTAAAATATTACCTAACCGTTTTAGATATCTGTTCAATCAGAGCTGCCTCCATATACGCAAATGATAATTTGTCTTGGATTTTTAGATATCTTAGCCCTCAGACAAGCTAATAGAGTTTAAATTGAACCTGGTGTTTTAGGGACAGTTGAATTGTTGGGATGCCCAGGAAAACAGTCACATTTTTCTATAAGTATGTGTTTATTTGGCTGGAATGTGGGTGAGGAAGAAGTTATATGTGAATTAAAAGAAACATTGTCTCAATGTCACATGTTAAATTAAATTAAATTACAGGCAGAACTAAGCGAGTTTACGATTGCTGCCGCTGGGAGCAGAGACTATTTTCAGCTTACATTTATAACAGAAGGAGGGATTTAAAATATAGTATTATGCCTACCCTGATACAGCTAACCTCCTCCACCCGCCCCTCCACACACATACAGCTACATGCTTACCCTCGAACTATGAAAGAAGGGTGTCTCTCAGGCATCCTATATTTAACCCAGCTTTGGACACGTCCCTGGAGTCTAGTCTTTTTGAACACAGCAGTGAAGATAAGGAATGGGGAGGGGGCTTTGATTTCAAGACCACTAGATATAGTAGATTCCTAATTTAATTTCAAAGACAAATCAATTATTAACACAAATACAAAGAGAACAGTATTTTAAGCAAAGCTTCTGTTGTGGCAGATAACCTTTTAAGGTGTCTCCCAGTTGGGTTTCTATTTTAGATGACTTTTTGAAGAATATATCTCTGTAATAGAAATATGTTTGATGATTCTCATCTTTAAGAACTTCACATTTGCTATAATTAAGATATTTATGAATTTATTGTAAGAAGATTGGTAGAAAAAGTAATGCAACATCAAATGGGAAAATAAATATATAATATTATATAGCTGTTCAAATATAGGGTTTATGATTCTTGAGCTAATTTGAACTGCTGTACAACACCAGGAGAAAAGTCCACAGCTGTGTTAAGAAAGCTCTTATAAGCTTATGAAATTTTATAGCACTGGCTGTCACAGAACCTACAATTTACAAACATTTGTAAAAGTTAGGAAAGTTTTGGGTTCCTCAATAGAAAATGATGTTGCTTAGCTTTAAGAAAGTAACTAATTTATCTCTTTTTATTCTTGTCCACTAACAAAGGAACCCAAATGGTCTTTTAAAATTATAATAAAACTAAGCTAGTAAAATATCACATAGATTTTGAGATACTGTGAATAACCATAGAAAATAACAATTTGTTGTTCTTCATGTATAAAAATAAGCTTAACATGCTTATCAATACATCTTGAACTATAAGAGATTTATTTCAGCAGTGTTGCCAAAGGGTAAGCAATGCCTGCTGCCCGTAGAAAACTTTGAATTCCCTAAGCTCAGGGCTCCTCACTTGTCATGTAACCCACTGCGTGTGCACACATCCATCTGTGCCCATCCATATTCCCCCAGAGGACTTGGAGGCAAGGAAATTGATGCAAATATGCTGATGCTCATATTGTTTGCTATGCTGTAAGTAATACAGTCCTTTGCTTTGACCCAGGAGTCTTCTGCCGCAACGATGAAACAAACTGGCAGACTCATTTGTTAGCTTGCAAGTAGGGTAAAATCTCTCCTCACGGTTCTTCACAGTGTACTTGTCTGTGCAATGGTCATCTTCTTCATGAATATAATTATAACATGATATAAGAAATGGTGAGCTCTTACCTATAGATAAGCAAACATTGCAATATAAAAATAGCATATGTTATTTCATAAATCACAGTTGACACATTCTAGAGAAGAGATTGGGCAGCCTTTTTTGGATGTCACAGTTGATTCTACTGTCCTCATTTCTTCTTCTCTTTTCTGGGATATGAGGAAGAATTGCTGTGACAAAGCTCATCTCCTGGGTGGCCAGGGTTGATTGTCAATTTGTTTTGTTCTTGGAAGGCTAGGCAGATGTCCTCTACCTCCTTCTTTATGCCATGTGACGTTCATCCCTTTGATTTTCCTGTTGCATTTTATTTAGTATTTTAGAATACTGCCCACATTCCATTCTGGAAAGTCCACTCTCCCAGCCAGAGTTTTCTTAGACAGCTGAGCCTGTGATGGGCGTTTGTGCAGGTAGCCTCTTTTAGAAAGTGAGCTCATAAAAGAGGGAAGAATGGAATAGAGAAGAAAAATCCACCAAAAGGGGGTGTCATTGAGCTGGTCACTTCTGTGAGCAACTGGGGCATGAACTCCCTGGGAAGCTCTCAGGAAGCCGGGAGAATGTGTTTCACAGCTGTGCCTCTGAGAGACAGCAGGGGGAATGCATTTATCCCGAGTCCTGTCCAGGGATTCAGCACTGCCCTTGGGGCGCTAACTCCTGGCTCTAAGGAGAGGAATATGAATGAATGGGTTGCGACTGGGTTTCTGCAGGCATCACAGAGGCCAAGAGACAGAGAACTCGAACACTGAACTTTTTAATTTTTTATTATTTTATTATTATTATACTTTAAGTTATAGGGTACATGTGCACAATGTGCAGGTTTGTTACATATGTATACATGTGCCATGTTGGTGTGCTGCACCCATTAACTAGTCATTTAGCATTAGGTATATCTCCTAATGCTATCCCTCCCCCGTACCCCCACCCCACGACAGTCCCCGTTGTGTAATGTTCCCCTTCCTGTGTCCATGTGTTCTCATTGTTCAGTTCCCACCTATGAGTGAGAACATGTGGTGTTTGGTTTTTTGTCCTTGCGATAGTTTGCTGAGAATGATGGTTTCCAGCTTCATCCATGTCCCTACAAAGGACATGAACTCATCATTTTTTATGGCTGCATAGTATTCCATGGTGTATATGTGCCACATTTTCTTAATCCAGTCTATCATTGATTGACATTTGGGTTGGTTCCAAGTCTTGCTATTGTGAATAGTGCCGCAATAAACATACGTGTGCATGTGTCTTTATAGCAGCATGATTTATAATCCTTTGGGTATATACCCAGTAATGGGATGGCTGGGTCAAATGGTATTTCTAGTTCTAGATCCCTGAGGAATTGCCACACCGACTTCCACAATGGTTGTACTAGTTTACAGTCCCACCAACAGTGTAAAAGTGTTCCTATTTCTCCACATCCTCTCCAGCACCTGTTGTTTCCTGACTTTTTAATGATTGTCATTCTAACTGGTGTGAGATGGTATCTCATTGTGGTTTTTGATTTGCATTTGATTGCCAGTGGTGATGAGCATTTTTTCATGTGTTTTTTGGCTGCATGGATGTCTTCTTTTGAGAAGTGTCTGTTCATATCCTTTGCCCACTTTTTGATGGGATTGTTGGTTTTTTTCTTGTAAATTTGTTTGAGTTCATTGTAGATTCTGGATATTAGCCCTTTGTCAGATGAGTAGGTTGCAAAAATTTCCTCCCATTCTGTAGGTTGCCTGTTCACTCTGATTGTAGTTTCTTTTGCTCTGTAGAAGCTCTTTAGTTTAATTAGATCCCATTTGTCAATTTTGGCTTTAGTTGCCATTGCTTTTGGTGTTTTAGACATGAAGTCCTTGCCCATGACTGTGTCCTGAATGGTATTGCCTAGGTTTTCTTCTAGGGTTTTTATGGTTTTAGGTCTAACATTTAAGTCTTTAATCCATCTTGAATTAATTTTTGTATAAGGTGTAAGGAAGGGATCCAGTTTCAGCTTTCTACTTATGGCTAGCCAGTTTTCCCAGCACCGTTTATTAAATAGGGAATCCTTTCCCCATTGCTTATTTTTGTCAGGTTTCTCAAAGATCAGATAGTTGTAGATATGCGGCATTATTTCTGAGGGCTCTGTTCTGTTCTGTTGTTCTATATCTCTGTTTTGGTACCAGTACCATGCTGTTTTGGTTACTGTAGCCTTGTAGTATAGTTTGAAGTCAGGTAGTGTGATGCCTCCAGGTTTGTTCTTTTGGCTTAGGATTGACTTGGCAATGCAGGCTCTTTTTTGGTTCCAAATGAACTTTAAAGTAGTTTTTTCCAATTCTGTGAATAAAGTCATTGGTAGCTTGATGGGGATGGCATTGAATCTATAAATTACCTTGGGCAGTATGGCCATTTTCATGATACTGATTCTTCCTACCCATGAGCATGGAATGTTCTTTCGTTTGTTTGTATCCTCTTTTATTTCCTTGAGCAGTGGTTTGTAGTTCTCCTTGAAGAGGTCCTTCACATCCCTTGTAAGTTGGATTCCTAGGTATTTTATCCTCTTTGAAGCAATTGTGAATGGGAGTTCACTCATGATTTGGCTCTCTGTTTGTCTGCTATTGGTGTATAAGAATGCTTGTGATTTTTGCACATTGATTTTGTATCAAATCAAGATACAAAATCTTGAATTTGAGATTTTGCTGAAGTTGCTTATCAGGTTAAGGAGATTTTGGGCTGAGACGATGGGGTTTTCTAGATATACAATCATGTCATCTGCAAACAGGGACAATTTGACTTCCTCTTTTCCTAATTGAATGCCCTTTATTTCCTTCTCCTGCCTGATTGCCCTGGCCAGAACTTCCAACACTATGTTGAATAGGAGTGGTGAGAGAGGGCATCCTGTCTTGTGCCAGTTTTCAAAGCGAATGCTTCCAGTTTTTGTCCATTCAGTATGATATTGGCTGTGGGTTTGTCATAGATAGCTCTTATTATTTTGAGATAGGTGCCATCAATACCTAATTTGTTGAGAGTTTTTAGCATGAAGCGTCTTTGAATTTTGTCAAAGGCCTTTTCTGCATCTATTGAGATAATCATGAGGTTTTTGTCTTTGGTTCTGTGTATATGCTGGATTACGTTTATTGATTTTCGTATGTTGAACCAGCCTTGCGTCCCAGGGCTGAAGCCCACTTGATCATGGTGGATAAGCTTTTTGATGTGTTGCTGCATTCGGTTTGCCAGTATTTTATTGAGGATTTTTGCATCAATGTTCATCAAGGATATTGGTCTAAAATTCTCTTTTTTGGTTTTGTCTCTGCCAGGCTTTGGTATCAGGATGATGCTGGCCTCATAAAATGAGTTAGGGAGGATTCCCTCTTTTTCTGTTGATTGGAATAGTTTCAGAAGGAATGGTACCAGTTCCTCCTTGTACCTCTGGTAGAATTGGGCTTGTGAATCCATCTGGTCCTGGACTTTTTTTGGTTGGTAAGCTATTACTTATTACCTCAATTTCAGAGCCTGTTATTGGTCTATTCAGAGATTCATCTTCTTCCTGGTTTAGTCTTGGGAGGATGTATGTGTTGAGGAATTTATCCATTTCTTCTAGATTTTCTAGTTTATTTGCGTAGAGGTGTTTATAGTATTCTCTGATGGTAGTTTGTATTTCTGTGGGATTGGTGGTGATATCCCCTTTGTCATTTTTTATTATGTCTATTTGATTCTTCTCTCTTTTCTTCTTTATTAGTCTTGCTAGCGGTCTATCAATTTTGATGATCTTTTCAAAAAAACCAGCTCTTGGATTCATTGATTTTTTGAAGGGTTTTTTTGTGTCTCTATTTCCTTCAGTTCTGCTCTGATCTTAGTTATTTCTTGCCTTCTGCTAGCTTTTGAATGCGTTTGCTCTTGCTTCTCTGGTTCTTTTAATTGTGATGTTAGGGTGTCAATTTTAGATCTTTCCTGCTTTCTCTTGTGGGCATTTAGTGCTATAAATTTCCCTCTACACACTGCTTTAAATGTGTCCCAGAGATTCTGGTATGTTGTGTGTTTGTTCTCGTTGGTTTCAAAGAACATCTTTATTTCTGCCTTCATTTCTCAGTGTACCCAGTAGTCATTCAGGAGCAGGTTGTTCAGTTTCCATGTAGTCGAGTGGTTTTGAGTGAGTTTCTTAATCCTGAGTTCTAGTTTGATTGCACTGTGGTCTGAGAGACAGTTTGTTATAATTTCTGTTCTTTTACATTTGCCGAGGAGTGCTTTACTTCCAACTATGTGGTCAATTTTGGAGTAAGTGTGATGTGGTGCTAAGAAGAATATATATTCTGTTGATTTGGGGTGGAGAGTTCTGTAGATGTCTATTAGGTCTGCTTGGTGCAGAGCTGAGTTCAATTCCTGGATATCCTTTTTAACTTTCTGTCTCGTTGATCTGTCTGTTGTTGACAGTGGTGTGTTAAAGTCTCCCATTATTATTGTGTGGAAGTCTAAGTCTGTTTGTACGTCTCTAAGGACTTGCTTTATGAGTCTGGGTGCTCCTGTACTGGGTGCGTATATATTTAGGATATTTAACTCTTCTTGTTGAATTGATCCCTTTACCATTATGTAATGGCCTTCTTTGTCTCTTTTGATCTTTGTTGGTTTAAAGTCTGTTTTATCAGAGACTAGGATTCCAGCCCCTGCTTTTTTTTTGTTTTCCCTTTGCTTGGCAGACCTTCCTCCATACCTTTATTTTGAGCCTATGTGTGTCTCTGCACGTGAGCGGGGTCTGCTGAATACAGCACACTGATGGGTCTTGACTTTTTATCCAATTTGCCACTCTGTGTCTTTTAATTGGAGGATTTAGCCTATTTACATTTAAGGTTAATATTGTTATGTGTGAATTTGATCCTGTCATTATGATGTTAGCTGGTTATTTTGCTCATTAGTTGATGCAGTTTCTTCCTAGCCTTGATAGTCTTTACAATTTGGCATGTTTTTGCGGTGGCTGGTACTGGTTGTTCCTTTCCATGTTTAGTGCTTCCTTCAGGAGCTCTTGTAAGGCAGGCCTGGTGGTGACAAAATCTCTCAGCATTTGCTTGTCTGTAAAGGATTTTATTTCTCCTTCAGTTATGAAGCTTAGTTTGGCTGGATGTGAAATTCTGGGTTGAAAATTCTTTTCTTTCAGAATGTTGAATATTGGCCCCCACTCTCTTCTGGCTTGTAGAGTTTCTGCCGAGAGATCCACTGTTAGTCTGATGGGCTTCCCTTTGTGAGTAACCCGACCTTTCTCTCTGGCTGCCCTTAACATTTTTTCCTTCATTTCAACTTTGGGGAATCTGACAATTATGTGTCTTGGAGTTGGTCTTCTCGAGGAGTATCTTTGTGGCATTCTCTGTATTGCCTGAATTTGAATGTTGGCCTGCCTTGCTAGGTTGGGGAAGTTCTCCTGGATAATATCCTGCAGAGTGTTTTCCAACTTGGTTCCTTTCTCCCTGTCACTTTCAGTTACACCAATCAGACGTAGATTTGGTCTTTTCACAGTCACATATTTCTTGGAGGCTTTGTTCGTTTCTTTTTACTCTTTTTTCCCTAAACTTCTTTTCTCGCTTCATTTCATTCATTTGATCTTCAATCACTGATACCCTTTCTTCCAGTTGATCGAATTGGCTACTGAAGCTTGTGCATGTGTCATGTAGTTCTCGTGGTTTTCAGCTCCATCAGGTCATTTAAGGTCTTCTCTACGCTGTTTATTCTAGTTAGCCATTCGTCTAATCCTTTTTCAAGGTTTTTAGCTTCTTTGCGACGGGTTCGAACATCCTCCTTTAGCTCGGAGAAGTTTGTTATTACCGATCATCTGAAACCTTCTTCTCTCAACTCGTCAAAGTCATTCTCCATCCAGCTTTGTTCCGTTGCTGGCGAGGAGTTGCGTTCCTTTGGAGGAGAAGAGGTGCTCTGATTTTTAGAATTTTCAGCTTTTCTGCTCTGGTTTCTCCCCATCTTTGTGGTTTTATGTACCTTTGGTCTTTGATGGTGGTGACGTACAGATGGGGTTTTGTGTGGTTGTCCTTTCTGTTTGTTAGTTTTCCTTCTAAGAGTCAGGACCCTCAGCTGTAGGTCTGTTGGAGTTTGCTGGAGGTCCAGTCCAGACCCTGTTTGCCTGGGCATCACCAGCGGAGGCTGCAGAACAGCAAATATTGCAGAATGGCAAATGTTACTGTCTGATTCTTCCTCTGGAAGCTTCGTCTCAGAGGGGCACCTGGCTGTATGCGGTGTCAGTCAGCCCCTACTGGGAGGTGTCTCCCAGTTAGGCTACTCAGGGGTCAGGGACCCACTTAAGGAGGCAGTCTTTCCATTCTCAGATCTCAAACTCCATGCTGGGAGAACCACTACTGTCACCAAAGCTCAGTCGGAAATTCAGAAATCACCTGTCTTCTGCATCATCCATGCTGGGAGCTGTAGACTGGAGCTGTTCCTATTCGACCATCTTGGATCCGGACCTGTCTATTTTCTTAGCCTTATGAGCTTTGTCAAAAGAGTGCAGCTTCTTCTGGTTTTTCTTATGAGTATACAAATATCTCTTTGATTGCATTTAGCAATGTTTGAAAGTCTTAATTTGTTCTGGGCTTTAACTTACTTTGCTTTATATTGCCTCCTTTTAATGTTCCTTTTCATTGTAAGTATTCCTTTTTTTTTTTCCGGTATGGAGTCTTGCTCTGTCACCTAGGCTGGAGAGCAGTGGCACAATCTTGGCTCACTGCAACCTCCGCCTCCTGGGTTCCAGTGATTCTCCTGCCTCAGCCTCCCGAGTAGCTGGGATTGCAAGTTCCCGCTACCATGCCCAGCTAATTTTTGTATTTTTACTAGAGATGAAGTTTCACCATGTTGGCCAGGCTCGTCTCAAACTCCTGACCTTGTGATCCGCCCATCTTGGCCACTGTGCCCAGCCTCACTGTAAATATTCTTTCCTTGGTTACTTTGCCCATTTCTCTCTTCTTCAGTGGAACATGTTTTTTCTGGATTTCATTTGGGTAGCTTTTCACATTTGATGAACGATGTTGTCCTCAATCATAACAACAGTGTCTCTTTGTATAGTGGTTGCTCGGAGGTCTACAAGGTAGTATTATGTAACATTTCCCATTGTGTTCTAAATACTCTTATCTTTTTAAGTTAAAAAATTGAAGTCAAAGCTGCCTCTAAAGTCACACACATAGCTTGAAATAATAGAGTTGAAATTTGGACATAAAACATATTGCCATGGGATAATGCCTGCTGTTTTCCTAAAGTTTTAAAATTATCTTTTTGACATCTCAAATAAACATTTGTCTATTGACAGGGCTCCTTCCTTGGGCACAATAAATTCTAAGATGTTCTGGTTATTATTTTCTCAAGGATTCTGACACTGCCCCCTTACTAATCATATTAGAGCCAAGTACGGAGTAGTGAACAAGTTCTGATAATTTGCAGGTATATTACTTTGGGCTGAAAAAAATCTAGCTGATGTCATTGGTCTTGTTGGGATCTGTCTTCAGAATGCAATTGGAGTGCATCTCTTAACCCTTACTTAAGTATCACTGAAGTTCTCTTTCTTCAGCTCCCAGATGCTCCGTAGCCTGCTCTGGCCTGTGAGGTCATGACGTCCCTTTAAGATGTTATAAGTTGAACACAGTCTTCTTTCCATCCCTCTGTAACATGTCTTGGGAAGAAGCCATATCCTTCTCATACCTTACGTTCTCATTCAGACGCTAGTTCTGTCAACTCTCAGAGGTGCATAGAAAGAATTATTATTATTTTTAATTTTTTTAGCTTTTAATTTTGTGGTTACATAGTAGGTGTATATATCGATGGGCTACATGAGATGTTTTGATACAGGCATGCAATGTGAAATAAGTGCATCAAGAAAAATGGAGTATCCATCCCCTCACACAATTATCCTTTGAGTTGCAAACAATCCAATTACACTCTTTAAGTTATTTAAAAATGTACAATTAAGTAATTATTGACTATAGTCACCTCTTGTGTTATCAAATACTGGGTCATTTTTTCTATTTTTTTGTACCCGTGGAAAGATCATTTATTGCCCTTTATTAGCAGCTCATCTTTATCACTTATATTCCCACAGCTGTGGATACATTCGTAATAACAATTATTAGTGATGACATCTCCACATGATTTTCTTTTTAAATTATATGCACCTGTGTTGTTGTATTTTTTTCTGTGTCGTGTCTGATGTCTTTCTGCAGGACTTAATTTTGTTATTTGGTTTCCTCTCTTTCTACTTAGCAGTAAGTCTCAAAAAAATAGGTTCATCTTATTCTCATATTATATACTTTAGCCAAAAATCTATAGTTTAAAAATAGGTATTGAATTTATCACAGAAGTATAATTTAACTACATAGCAAGAAATTTAGAAATAAAAGGAAAGAGAACAAGATCATCTATCCAGCTTCCTCAGGGAAAAGGAGCTGATCTATGTTTAATCCCTTCTGTGTTTCCAGAGCTGTGTTTGTTGGATTTAACACCCATTATCTCATCTCAATCCAGCAGATCTCTTTGTCCATTATCTTCTCATATGCAGATTTTCCCATCCCATCTCCTTCATCTCTCCACATGTTTAAATAGTTCTTATATTTATTGTTGTAATGACTGTAGAGTAGATCATCAAATTAAGATGCTTAAATTTATGTAAACTTGAGCGGGCATGGTGGCTCACGCCTGTAATCCCAGCACTTTGGGAGGCTGAGGCAGGCGGATCACGAGGTCAGGAGATCGATACCATCCTGGCTAACATGGTGAAACCCCGTGTCTACTAAAAATACAAAAAAAAATTAGCCTGGGCAACAGGGCAAGGCTCCGTCTCAAAAAAAAAAAAAAAAACTATGTAAACTTTCCTCTAGGTCTTCATTTGTGTTGTGTCTTTTGTAGTTCTCATAGAATAAAGTCCTTGGTCCTGGTATGTTAAAATTGGTATGCTGTTGTTATAACTTTATATTTGTAGTGCTGTAAGTCACTTGAAAACACCAATGTCAGGAGGTATTCAATGTTCCTATGCTAGGTTTTCTTTAACAAGTCAAAATATCATCTGGAAGGAGAGACAACGTGTAACTCCTATCTCCTACCCCCTGTAAATTCTAATTTATAGAATTTAAACCTGTTTCTATGTGTCTTCTTCCAGGCCTCATCTGTTCCCACAGGTAGACTGTAGGAATTGTCTGTCATGTCCCGGGAACCAGACACTCATCAGCTGGTCATGCCAGCCTCTCTTCCTCACCCCAGAATCATCAGTCAGCAGGCAAGGCTCCTTTCTCGGGAGTGAGGTTCTCCTGTTCCCTCTCATCCCCATCTGCCGCCACACGTGGCTGCTGTGTGGCTCCCCGTGAGTGAGGTGCTGCTCCTTCTCCAGAGGTGTAATTCATTTTCCATGAGACAGACCTCAGTATTTCAGAAGAGTAAGCCTTACTGGGGCCTTCACACATGTGAGAAGCCTTCAGAGCAGAGACAAAACTTGAGTTGAGCCCTGAAGATAATAAGTGATGGGAACTCGCAGACAGGAGGGGCTGCAATGTCATCGGGTGAGCGGTCAAGGAGCGTTGGTGCATGCATCCCACATTCAGGAAACAGTGAGAAGACCACTCCGATTAAAGGAGGAAGCACATCTGAGAAATGTGTAGGGGATTTGGCTGTAGTGCAGAGAGTGACAGGAAACAGGCGATGGAAGGAATTGAATGCCAGGACCTGAAATTTGAATTTCAGGACAGGTGCAGTGGGGATCCATTGGAGCTGGTTGATATGGCTGTTTGTGTGACTTGCACTCAGCAATAGTTTAAAACCGTTTCTGCTCTGGTGATACGTAAGGTGTGTGTGTGGCTGGGGACAGTCAATAAGGAAGCATTGGCTGTAAGGATTAGTTAGGTCGTTAACATGAGGACCTACAGTGAGATGATGATCATGATAATGGAAAAGCTGCCATATACACACAAAAAGTACATAATCCTTGGCAATTTATTGGCTGTAGAGGGAAGATAAGGGTGGGGGCTCAGGACAGTGTACTTATTGAGCATTTTTCAGTTTCAGGTGACCAAAATCTAAGATCAAATAGACTTGAACAATAAAGGGAACCAAAGTGTCTTGATTGAAGCCAGGCTGAATTTAGGCAATCAGATTCTTTCATCAGCAGTCTGCCTCTTTCCTTCTTGCAGTTTTATTTTCGTCTACAACTGGCCTCATTCTTGGGCAGCTCTGTCTATGCCATAGCTTCAGGCATACCGTTTACCAGCTTAGAAGCGTGACTGTTTTCCTTTATTTCTGTTCTTAGCAATGTTGAGTTCTACAGATATTATGCCTTTATTTGTTTATTCTACTCAGTAGGATAAGCTTCACAGGAGCAGAGACTTTTTCTGTTGTTTATGGTTATATCCCCAGAACATAGGGGCATACCTGGCACAGTATAGATTTTCAACAAATATTTGTTGAATGAATGAATGGGTATTTCTCCCAAGAGTTCAAGCCGAAAGTCCCAGGTTCTGCTGTTATTCATTCGAAAGTCCCAGGTTCTGTTCCCATTCATTCAGCATGGGCTTCCTGACCATCCTGGAACCAGTCCTTTCCAGTAGGACAGGCATGGCATTCAGTTGCCAGGCCTGAGGCGTGTCCCTGTGCTGGCCCCAGGTGGTAGGGTGAGCCCCCTTCAGACCCCATGGAGTGAGATGTAGGGAAGACAGTGACTGAAGATAATCGAATGGAGATCAAGACCATGTAAAACAGAAGTTTTTATATGGAAAAAAGTAGATTTTTACATTGACCATTACTGCTTATGTTCACTGTGAGTAAAATGTGCTTTTTCCGAAGCATTCCCTCTAGATAGCAATGCACAGATCAATTCAGATTCATAACAAGATGAACTTTTGGTACCTTCTAAATAAAAGCTTTATTTAACCTCTCATTAAGATAATGTTAAGGTACATTAAGAACTGAAAAGACAGGTGATGAAATGGGAAGAATGGAATAGCGCCGTATCCAGATGAACATCCAGACGTGGCCTGAAGAAGGTATGGGCACCCCCTTCCCTGTTTGTGATTCGATTCCCGAGGCCGTGCTCCCTACTGACTCAATATGTGGAACCAGAGAGAAGCCTGCTGTGGAGTTAGTGAATTTGACCTAATCGAGACAGTCTGAGAAAGGACAGGAATCTTTTTTTTTCTTTTTTTTTTTTTTTAGAACAAAGAGGTTTTCTATACATCTGTGATAACACAGTAACCATCTGTTGAACTCTTTAATAGTAGGCTTTGTGTTTTTCTGATAATTCGAAGGTGGTTAAGGTGCCGTCCCCTCATATTAGCAGTTCGGTGGCCCCTTCCCCTCTCCTTCCATCCTTAGGTTCCGCCAACACAGTGGTTAGCTCCTTTCACAGTGAGGAGCAAGTGCAGCCACAAGCATGGGGAGAGCCACAGCCTGGCAGAGTGGCTTAGCATCACGAAGCCCTTCTGAGAAGGAATTGAGTATCTGTGTGATTCAAAGGGATGTTAATCGTATTTTCATTGGAACTCTCCTGCATTTCCCCTAAAATATCCAATATGTAATTCCATATAAACAGTGTGTTCATTTCCTATGGCCCTTGTGAGAATTGACCATAAACTGGCTGACTTAAAGCAAAAGAATTTATTCTGTCATAGTCTGGAGACCAGAAGTTCCGCATCAGTATCCCTAGTCCAAAATCAAGATGGGCCACACTCCCTACGGAGGCTCTAGGGGGACATCCATTCTTCGTTTCTTCCGGCTTCCTGTGGTTGCCCATGTGCCTCACCTTGTGGGTGCCTCACTCCATTTTCACACCCTCTTCTCTTTTGTGTGGGGCTCTGTTCATCCTCACCTTTATCTCTCTTACAAGGGCAGTTCTGATGGTATTTAAGACCCAGCCAGATAATTCAAGATAATTTCCTCGTCTCAGGGTCTTTGATCACATCTGGAGAACCTTACCTTCTGAAGTAACCTTCACAGGGTCCCGGGATTGGGGCATAGACATATCTTTGGGAGCCACTGTCAGCCTGTCCTAACACATGTAAGATTCATCTCTGATAAAGGCATTCAACCACAAGTGCAGTGTGGTTTGGTCTTTTAATAAAATCCTTTAAGTAATACTGTAATGAATTCGGAGCTCCATCCGGAGATGCCAGGAGGTGTCCTCATTTGAATGTAAAGCTCCTCCCCATAGCATCAGTTGTCACCCCTCCTTTTGGCTTTTCCCATTTCCTCTGCAGATACGGACAAAATCTGTCCATGTATTATACATGCATTCTTTTTTTTTTCATTCTTATTATCAGATCCCAGAATAATGAATTGCTGTTTGAAAATGCATGGTTTATGTTTATCTTTTCCAGAAGCACTTTTATACGCATCTCTCCCTAGTAGTGTTTGCTCTTTCAGAGGCTGGTTTTGTTCCTAAGCAATTAAGATGCTTCCCTGTGTTTTGGAATAAATAGTAGTATCTAAATATTTTGCTCTTCTGTTTATTTCCTATAACAGATATTTACACATCTCCCTCCCATGTTAGATTCTGGACTTCTTGAACCTAGAACCATGTCTCTCTTTATGCCCCATAATGCTTTGCACATGGTAGGTGCTCAATACACTTTTATTAAATAAGTGCAAGAATTAACATACTCAAATGAAATGCTGTTTTGAAAAGTATATCATCTCTGTCTTAGGTAAGGGCAATTCCTCAAATTGATTTTTTAATCATTTCATATTCATGTGGTAAAAATTGTCGTAAACTAGCACATCTGTGAATGCAATGTTGATTTGTATACAGGAAGCCCTTAGGCTAATTTTAATCTTCTGCTGTCTTTCATGAACATAATACTAAGAAATGGTTTCTGTCCCAAACCCTTCATAGGCACCATGCTGGGAATCACAAAGCATGCTGGGAATACTTGTCAAGGAGAAGTGGGAAGCTAAGAGTGATGCCAGGCAGGGGTCAGGGGACAAATCAAGACCATAGAGTGGGGAGAGAGGAACCTAGGCAGAGCTAATCGCCGAGACTAAATCAACAAGCCTAGGGAAGTGCAGCAAGCCAGAAACCCTCTGGTCTAGCGTGATTTGGAAAGGCAGAGCAAGTTCCTGCAATGCTCAAGTTATCAGGCAAAAAGGAGGAGCCTCCATCTCCTGTAGGCAAGTAGCCCGCAGTGATTCCCTCTGGAGGGGTCTACAGAGTGGGCTTTTTCCAGTTCATCACTACAGGTGTTGCCTTTCATGGGTCCTGGCTTCACGCAGGTAACTCTGACCTGAACACCTGGTGCATTTCACTTTTCCCATCCCCCACAGGTTCTGTGCTGGGGCACTGTGAGAATTTCTAGCCGCTATTGAGGTTTGGGCACACAATTCACACTACCTCTGTGTGTGTGCACCTAAAGAACCTAAGCATCAAATTGAGTTTAAAGTAGTGTTGGATGGGTGATGTACCCAGACATCTTGCAGAATTGAGAAAATGTGGGACATTAGGGAACTTTGAGGGCTAATGGACCTGTTTTATGTCTTCATTATGGTGGAGGTTACAAGGCTGAATGCATTTGTCAAAATGAATAGAGCTGTACACTTTAAAAACATCAGATAAATTCTCTGGAATTTTACTCTCTGTAAATTATACTGCAATGTAAATTTTAAAAATTGTAAAAAATTAAAAAAGGAGTGATGATTGCCATACATCCTAGAATATATTCATATATATTTTTGGACTATTATTTCTCCCAAGCTGCAATCTGAGTGTTAACCATATCACGGTATTTTTCCCGGCAGCTGACTGTGATGCCCCACTGGCCTCTGCCTTGCCTAGGTCATCCTTCAGCAGCTCCTCAGAGCTGTCCAGCAGCCACGGCCCGGGGTTTTCAAGGCTTAATCGAAGAGATGGTGAGTCTGCCTTTTTCCTTGTATTGCTCCTTGGTGACTCTCATTGGATTTTCATTTAACAAAATAATTATAATTCATTTAACAAAATAATTATAATTATAATTATAATTGATTAATACTTTGCAGAAGGAAGTAAAATTCAGAATAAGCATATTTGTTCACATTTGAAACTCCAAGAATGTATTTGACAGGAATAAGTTGATCACTTCGGCTTTCTGGTCCTGCTGGGTTTCCCTTGGTACGATCTTTGTGTGCCTTGAACATGTCACACCTGACTTTGACAGTGTTTGAACTCTTTGTATACCCCTTGCAATATCTGAGTATTATTTATCGAAGACCTTAGATTCTGTCATGTCCTTTTTTTTACCTTGGATTCTTTTGTTCTGCCACAGTATACATTTTGTTGTCCCAGATTATTTAATTATCCCTATTTGGATGAGAAAATTGGCAAAGTAAAGAAGCGTCTAAAAAGATTTTTATTATGTTTTAACTACAACTCTTAGTTTATTTCTTATTATGGCGGACTTGATTCTCTCCTTAGCATCCACTGTAGAGAAATAACCATGTAAAATGGTTTATTCATGCTCCACTGTGACTATTCTTTTGTGTGGGGCTCTGTTCATCCTCACCTTTATCTCTCTTACAAGGGCAGTTCTGATGGTATTTAAGACCCAGCCAGATAATTCAAGATAATTTCCTCGTCTCAGGGTCTTTGATCACATCTGGAGAACCTTACCTTCTGAAGTAACCTTCACAGGGTCCCGGGATTGGGGCATAGACATATCTTTGGGAGCCACTGTCAGCCTGTCCTAACACATGTAAGATTCATCTCTGATAAAGGCATTCAACCACAAGTGCAGTGTGGTTTGGTCTTTTAATAAAATCCTTTAAGTAATACTGTAATGAATTCGGAGCTCCATCCGGAGATGCCAGGAGGTGTCCTCATTTGAATGTAAAGCTCCTCCCCATAGCATCAGTTGTCGCCCCTCCTTTTGGCTTTTCCCATTTCCTCTGCAGATACGGACAAAATCTGTCACCCAGGCTGGAGTGCGGTGGTGCAATCTCAGCTCACCGCAAGCTCTGCCTCCTGGGTTCACGCCATTCTCCTGCCTCAGCCTCCCAAGTAGCTGGGACTACAGGCACCCGCCACCAGGCCCGACTAATTTTTTGTATTTTTTTTTTTTTTTAGTAGATACGGGGTTTCACCATGTTAGCCAAGGTGGTCTGGATCTCCTCACCTCCTGATCCATCCACCTCGGCCTCCTGAAGTGATAGGATTATAGGCGTGAGCCTGTAACCGCGCCCAGCCTTTTTTTTTTTTTTTAACTCCCTGTTGCATTTCTTGGTGTTTTCTGTATTTGAGCACATTTAATGCATTGCACATTGGACCAAATAAATATGTTCTGGCATTTGTTATAGGCAGTATGGCTATGAAACATGAACAACTTAACTTTTTGTTTTTCTGTTTATGTTTCTTAAGTCTGTGATTTCATTTGTTGCAGAGATATGGGCTCTGTTTTGTTACTTTAGATTCTATTGCTGCAGAGCCTCAGTGGATGGTCATTATCACTGAAACAGTGACTAAGCCTGGGCACAGGGGGTAAAGGAAAACAAGAGCAATCTCAAGCCATAGCTCTTCTTGATGTCAAATCATATTTTGTACTAAAGTACATGATTATGAGGATTCTTTATCATAGGGATCATTTTTATTCTTAGTTCATGTTCCTGTAACTCCTCGTGCAAAAAAGCATGATATCAATCTTAATAAAATTTATTTTCATGTTAATGAAGTTAGAAAAACAGGCTTACTTTAGTTAGCTATCAACTGAGTTTATTACAAATTCATTGTTGTTGCTTTTTTTAATTGGTTTTGACTTTTTTCTTCTCCCTCATGGTAGCCTGGAGTATTCATCAAAGGAGTTCCAAATTGGGAGTGATTTATTGAAGGCTATAGATTATCTCTAGTGTTTTATTATCCTTTATTAGATTCAGAATGGTCTATGGAAGAGTGACTGAACAAATGTTCTGATCATAAATAATTAAACTAACAAATAATGACCCCCTGTCTCAGACATTAAAGCCTTTCTCCAGTGGAGTGTAAAGATCTCAGAGCTAAAAATTAACAGGCAGAAAACAAGTAGTTTCCCTGTTGTGCAGCCCAGTGCCTTGTACCCATGTGATGGGAAGACGCCATGGAAACAGCTGCGATAGTTACTCAAGCCTTAGCCTGAGGGGTGAGAGGGGAACAAGGTAGCTATGCATCCCGTCTGTCCCAGTGTAAAGAATCAAAATGGACTTTTTGGAGGTGTCTTTCTTCATGCCTCTTGGATACCACAAGTAAACTAGTTCTTCCATGCCACTAAATGATGAACCCATGGGCCAAACAAGTTAATGCACTTTTATAAGCAACTTATTTAATTCCCTTTAATGGGGAAGACTCAGTTTTTCCACCAAAGGTTTCATAAGTTATGAAGCATAATCCAGAATTACTTTCAACTTGTAAAAATGTATTATCATGAATATTGCACAGATTGGATTATAACTAATTAAATATGTTTTTGCTTTCTACATCTTCATAGTTAGAATTTCAGTATAACCTCTAACATGGTATTGGCTAATTTGAGGATAAAGTGACCTGTTGTAAATTTATTTATTTATTTATTTATTTATTTATTTATTTATTTATTTATCGAGATGGAGTCTTGCTGTGTTGCCAGGCTGGAGTGCAGTGGTGCAATCTCGGCTCACTGCAAGCTCCACCTCCTGGGCTCAAGTGATTCACCTGCCTCAGCCTCCCGAGTAGCTGGGACTGCAGGTGCCCGCCACCACACCAGGCTAATTTTTGTATTTTTAGTAGAGGAGGGGTTTCACCATGCTGGCCCAGATGGTCTCAATCTCCTGACCTCGTGGTCTGCCCGCCTCGGCCTCCGAAAGGCGTGAGCCACCGCGCCTGGCCGACCTGTTGTAAATTTAAGAGGCTAAGGGTCAGTGTGCATTTCTACACCTTTCACATTGCATCACTTGAAGCTAAGAAGAACTCTGTGGTATATTACATGTAAAAATAAGACTGAAATAAGCTGACAAAGACTTAGGGCAAAAAAATAAGGTTTTGAGTAGAATTGAAGAAAACATTTTGATAATAATATCAAAGAAATTCCGAGATGCCATTGAAACCATTTAATTATTTAAACATGTTTGTTATTCCTTTTTCTGTAACTTCTTCTGACACTAATCGAAAATTTCAGAAAATTAACCTATAGTTTAAAATGTTTAAAATATGAGACTTCAAACGATACACTGGCACATAGTAAATTCTTAACATTTCAAAATGAATAATGAATGATCTGTATTAGGAAATGAAATCTTTATATGATACACACATACAGTTGTAAAACTTGGTTTTCTCCATAATCAATAATTGGCTTTCAGAGGCAATTTAATTATGCAATGGTTGTCCTTAGTTTTATTATACTTTATAATAAATGGATCGATGCTTTGTTTAGTTGACAAATACAGACATAGGTGAATTAATTTTACCTTTTTCCTTAGGCCTGTCTTCTCATGTGCTTATAGCTGTGTCTGTGTCAAATGAATTTGTGAAAATATAATCTCTTATTTTAGACAATTTCAACAATTAATAAACACTGTGAAGTTGTTATTCCATGACTGTTTGAGATGGAAAACCAGCCGTTTTGGGTATCATTCACATACTGGCTAAAGACATACATTTATTTATGCATTTGCTGCCCTGTGTCTCCTCTGCATTTATTATATTAGCAGTTTCAGTTTAAAGTTTATTTTTCTGTAATTCAGATTCCTTGCTTCTTATGCTGGTTGTCATATGAATATGCCTTTCTAAGATTAGGATAAAACTCTCTTCTTGGTGTTTTCTTTCAGTCCTATCTTGAGTTATTTTTAATCAAAATGCTAGGCTGAGGTCAACTGATTGTAATTTGTTTATAAGGAAAAAATGGAAGGTGACCTGAAGAATTTTCTCTCCTCCCTTTACCCAAAAGTATTTATTCTTATTTTGAAATGAGAAATTCCTTCAGAATTTCCCAAGATCAAAGAGGGCTATCTCACTGACAGCTAAGACCCTGTTGTCTTCATCTGTAACTTGGCTAGTCTTATCCAAAAGAGGCCTCTTCTGGGTTGGAATTGCATTTAGTTTTAAATAAACAATTATGCAGAAAGTGCTTCTTCCATCTTATTAAAATTTCAGAGTTAGAAGAAAAGGCATCTGAAGTTTCCAAGTAGAACTATAACAGACCTAGTGTTTTTTAGTATCCCCATAAGTAAGCATTCTAGCATAAGGGAGGGTTTGCTGGTTGCTCATTGAATGTTGTCTTGGCCACTCACAGACCAACACATGATGAGTGTGAGATAAACTCTTTGGTCTAAAGAGAGAAAACATAAGAGTCTGCAGCTGTAACATGTCTGCTGACCCAAGCTGGAATGCTTTAGTGTATTGTGTCACCTAGTGAGTTTTAGGATTTCCCTCCCCACTTATGAGTTTTCCACCTCAGGTTAAAGGAATGTGGGATATTAAGGAGAATTATTAAGAGAGAAAGGGCAAGCATTTGGAAATGCAAAACCTAGACAAGGTGGAGATGATTTACTGGAGTCAGAGAGGAATTAATAGCGTATTAATATCAACATCATTATGGCCCACATGCATCTATCATGCTCTCTAGTATTGTGTCCAAGGTCCATAGATGGTCACTGTCTTATTATATCCCTGATCATACTAGCTTCACCAGACTTTCAGGTCACCCAGGGGCTACATCTCTTAGACAGCAGAATATTAAGATAATGGAAAACAATAATAAGTTATGACAGTGTGTGAAAAACATGAAAAAGATTTTATATTCTCTCACGATAGATGTGATTCAAGATGCTACTGCAATAAATTAAACAATACATATGCTTTTTTGCAAGGATAACCCCATGTGTTTTCATGGTCTAACGAAGTTAGACAGCATTGTTATTTGTGGCTTGACACCTCTGCAATTGCTCCTTTTTAAAGTCGCAAAATGAATGTACAATAACTAACCATGCGTTAGACCGAAGGAGAGTTTGAGAATTTTTTCAAGGGGCCTTCACTAATGAAGCAAGCTGTCTCATTTGGGGATCTGTAAGCAGCAAAGATAAACATTGCCTAAGACATTTCTGTTGAAATGGCGTAAAACACATGGATTACTTACTTCTTCAGGGATTTTAAATACTTGGAAACAATGCAGTGAACACAGATATTACTGTGAAGAACATTTCAGCAAATGAGTTTACAAAATGGATGAAACCGAAGAAGCGTCTTATGTTTATAGCTTCTCACCTGAAGAGATTAACTATATGGGTGGACCTCATCAACGTTTGAAACTTTCTTTCCAAGAGGTTTTTCCTGTAGAATTTTAGGACTTTCTGGGAAGATGCATGACAGATGCATGCCATTGTTGATGGTGTGGGTCACTGTGGAAACTGCCCTAATGAGGCCATTATGCTGCCTATTTGTGATATTTGGTTATGAGTTGATGACAATATTGTAGATAAAATAGACACTCAAGCTGTTGAAAAATTTTACAGGTTGTCATCAATTATCACTTAGAACTTTTTTCTCAATTTTCTGAGTGAATGAGGATTGTGTTTAAAAAGATACTTTCTGCCTCATTTCTTCTCCAGTTATTTTGAAAAAGCTCAGGTACTGATTTCTTAGGAAAAGAGGAAAGCAGGGAAACTAGAGGCGGGAATTTGTGCTGCACACAACCTAGCCACGAATCTGGGTGCACCAGCCCTTCGGATCTGGGCAGGTAAGCATTTGCCCAGGTATCAGGCTGCCTGTGTGGCTCCACAGAACAAAGATGGGGAAGCAGAGGCATCAGCTTCTCTTATAGCACAGCACACAGCCTTCCAGGAGTGGATACACACTTTCTTTCTATTATTAGCCCAAATAATTATCTCAACTCAATAGAAAAAATAGCAATCTGTGCCTGATTGTCCTGAAAATGTTTCATTAATTTACTTGTATTCAGTGAATATAAAACCATAGTTGGTGGTTTTTCAGTAAGTACAGAAAACATATTTGGTGGGTTGTTTTCCATGCAGAGTGTAAATATTGTAGGGCCAAAGTCTTAGTTATCTGTTTTTTTTGCTGTTGGTTTTTTTTTTTTTTTTTTTTTTTTTTGGAGACAGAGTCTCGCTCTGTCACCCAGGCTGGAGTGCAGTGGCGTGATCTCTGCTCACTGCAAGCGCCACCTCCCAGGTTCACGCCATTCTCCTGCCTCAGCCTCCCAGGAAGCTGGGACTACAGGCACCCACCACCACGCCTGGCTAACTTTTTTTTTTTTTGTATTTTTAGTAGAGACGGGGTTTCACCATGTTAGCCAGGATGGTCTCAATCTCCTGACCTCGTGATCCACCTTTCTCGGCCTCCCAGAGTGCTGGGATTACAGGCATGAGCCACCACGCCCAGCCTAGTTATCTTTTTGATGGAATAAAACTACAGAGGATAGATTCCAGTGTCAGTAAGACAAAGAGTTTCTGCTTCTCTGAGGAAGTAAGTTTGCTATGTAGACACACACACAGAGAAAATGGTCAAAAGTTGCTTTTATAAACTCCAATAATCAATTTTTTTACATTAGCACCTTACTCCATGAAGATCACAGTATATGAATACAAAATAATATGTATGAATGTTGATTTGTGGAAAAAAATCTTAGAGTTATCACTCCCTCCTTTTTCCAAATTCTGTGTATTGTCTGTTGAAACAGTTCATGCTTATGATTCTAATACATCATTTCCATGGATCTCCCCCTCAGCTTAGTCTCTTCATGTCTCACTTGGATTATTTTGAAAGTCCCATGATCGAACTTCAACTTTTGAAGCTTTCCCTAATTAAATAAATGCTTAGCAAAGTCCTCAGTTAATGTTCTTTAAAGTGCTATTCTCTTCTTGTTCCATGCTCAGTTGATGAATCTCAGACACTAACCCCATAGAGCAGTTCTCAAATTCACAAGCCACCTAATGCCCACTGCCATACGTAAGAAGGTGGTCTAGTAAATTTTGGAGTAAAGGCAATATATATTTCACAAAATCAAAATGTAAGATCAATTACAATTCAGCTAATATTTAATTAGGATATAAGGCATCTCAGTGAATGCATTTTTAGTTTCTGAAGTATGTAATTTTTTTTTTAGATTTGTACTTAGCTATTCTTACTAAATTTCGGAAAGTTCCTGCTTTATGGACATGAATCAGTGACTCTAAATGGTTCTTTGAGGTATAAAAACAAAGATAGTAACAAATACAAATTTCACAATCTGAACTAGAAAACATTACTAGTGACCACAACTCAAATACTAATATAAAAAGCATCTTTATTAACCTGGGGTAAAAGCTTCTCTGCGTGGGGCAATTTTACCCAGGCAACTGAACAGGCGGTGCGGGATGAATGTTTGAAAATTGGAACTAACTTGGACGCACTCATCCCCATTTTCCATGCCTGCTGTGCACTCCTGCCAGATGGGAACATGATGTCATATTTTCAGTCAGTTTTCAAACAAAATGGGGATAATCTAATATTTTCTGGAATAACCATAGAATAATGTTTTCCAATGTGAACTTGGTGAATTTTATGAATGAAAGAGAAGCAGATATTGGATCCACACAGCCATCATTGAAGGTGGTACACCTAACATCAAAAACTTCTGTGCGGGACCGGGCAGGGTGGTTCACGCCTGTAATCCCAGCACTTTGGGAGGCTGAGGCGGTTGGATCACCTTGAGCCCAGGAGTTGGAGACCAGCCTGGGCAACATCAAAACCCTGTCTCTATTAAAAAAAAAAAAAAAGAAAAAAAGTTTCATGCCGCTGTTACGGACTAGGAATGTCTAAAATCCATCACAAAGTTAGTATTTTGCTTGGAGGGGCAAGTAGAATGAGCTTTTGGAAAGTTTCTTTAACAATTCTTTGATCTAGTAATTCCTGAAAACCTTTGAGGCTGGTGAAAATACTTTTTCATGTAGGGATGAATCATTCTGTGAGTCCTGGCGTAAGTCAGCCAGAAACTCATGATGGGAGCTTTTGATGAGGGGATATGAGGTTTAAAAATGGAAATCAAAACTTTCTTCACGACACTGATAATTCCTATAAAGGCCATTTCTGTGTGGGATGACATGTACAATTAACATAAATGACCCTGCTTCCAAGCTCACTGAATTTTTTCGCCAGTGCCCTCAGACCTCCGTCTTTGCTCCTAACTCAGATTGTCTTGAGTCTTCTGTAGAGAGAAAAGGGGATCATTGCAGAGACTGTGAACCAAGGCATTAATCTTCACTTCTGAAGTCCAAAAGCATCTTTTGGTCTGAGGTAGAAAAAGTTTGAAAGGGAATTGAGCAGGCTAAAGGTGTTTTAATTTTTCTGCTATCTCGCAGACTAGGAACCCTCAGCAGGACTGCACGATAGGATGCATAGAGAGGTGGGGACTGCCCTGAAGCTCTGCTCTCAAGCAGAGCCTTGCCGGTGGTGGCTTAATGGAAGTCTTCACTGAAGCTCAGGGATCTGAGTGGGCACTCTCATGTGTGTAGTGGAAAGGAGGACGCCAGTCTCCAAGAGCAGCCTGCACGGCATCCTCGTTGTGCTGCGGCACATTCAGTGACAGGACTGGACGCCCTGCTGCAGCTCTGGTGGCCGGTGAGGACAGCCCCAGTTATCCAAGGACACCCTGAGGTACCAAAGGCAGGTGAGCAAGACCATGTTCCTGCCTGAGGTCTGGCAGAGGGAGGAGAAAGGGTCACCAAAACGTTGTGGAGAGCACTGTCCCAGCCTGGGATGGGAGGACTTGGCTCCATCGGCAGCAGGTCGCCATCCCTGAGGACAGTGCAGTGCTGACCTCTACTTGGGGCTTGAACACACTCCCCTCCCCGCTTTACCAAGGCAATTAGCAAAGCCAGAAGAGACCAGAGTTAACTCTGGGGATGAAGGGGAAGTAAAAGAACCCCTGAAGGAATTTTCAAGGGTCTGCGACCAATACAGACACGAACTGACAGGCTTATCCCTTAACTGGACAGAGACACCTGCTGTGACTACTTCCAGTCTGTGTATCAGCCAGAATTCCAGCTCCTACTAGAAAGCTTTCTGGGTTATGGAGAAATGAAGTTACATTTTCCCTCATGAGTTTGTGATTTAAAAATTTATACCTGCAGAATGATTCTGACGGATTTGCTCAAGTGGCTTTTGTCAGGGTTATAGTCCGTATCTTCTCTAGCCTCAAATTAATGTGATGTTGTTGAGGATGACTTAAAATTTTCTTTGAAAGTCTGAAACATGATGCAGAATGCTTGCACCAAAAGAGTTTTACATTTCCCCCACGCTTGTACTTACTAGAGCCAAGTACATCAAAGGTGTGGATTAAAACCCGTGATGCAGGGAACTCTGACACTTGTGATAACATGGATGAACCTGGAGGACATTATGTTAAGTGAAATAAACCAGGCACAGAGAGACAAATACCATATAGTCTCACTTACATGTGGAATTTAAAGACAGTGCTCACAGGAGTAGAGAGTAGCATGGTGGTTACCAGAGGCTAGAGGAGAGGGTGGATAGGGAAGGGGGAGATGTTGGTCAGTAGGTACATAGTTTTGGGTAGATAGGAATAATAATTTCTGTTGTTCTTTTGCACAGCATAGTGAATGTAGTTAATAAGTGTTGTCTGTTTTGAAATATATGAGAGGATTTTAACTATTCTCACCGCTAAAAGAATGATACATATTTGAGGTGACTGATATGCTGATTAGCCTGATTCGATCATTTTACAGTGTATGCATGTATCCAAACATCACATTGCACCTCTTAAAAATGTACAATTATTATTCATCAATTAAAAATAAAATTTAAACATGGGAGTTAGCAAACTTCTGCTGTAAAGAGACAGATGGAAAATGATTTTGGTATTGTGGACCATGTAAGGTCTCTGTTACATTTCTTTTTTTTCTTTTTTCTTTCTCTGTCTTCCTTCCCTCCCTCCCTCCCTTCCTCCTCCTCCTCCTTCCTTCCTTCCTTGCTTTTTTCCTTTCCTCTTTTTTTCTTTTCCCCTCTTCTCTCTTTCTCTTTCTCTTTTTGAAACACAGTCTTGCTCTGTTGCCCAGGTTTGGAGTACAGTGGCAAGATCACAGCTTAGTGTAGCCTCAACCTCTGTGGGCTCAGGTGATCCTCCCACCTCAGCCTCCCGAGTAGCTGGGACCACAGTCACATGTCATAACACCCAGCGAACATTTATATTTTTTGTAAAGATGGGATCTCATTATGTTGCTCAGGCTGGTCTTGAATTCCTGGGCTCAAGCAGTCCAGCCACCTCAGCATCCCAAAATGTTGGGATTACGGGCCTGAGCCACCATACCCAGCCCCCGCCCTCTTTTTTTTTTTTTTTTTAAACGCAACGCTTTACAAATGTAAAACCATTCTTAGTTCTCTGGCTGTGTAAAGCAGGTCATAATCTAGATTTTGGCTGCCAGACCTAATCTAGATTTTTACTAAGCCTGCATGCTAAATATGTCTGGCACTTTCCCTTAAAAAGCTCTCAGCATTTATCACATGCCAGTGTGCTTACTAGGTATTTGTATACTTTTCTTACGGTTTGTGCAATTCTAACTTCCTTGAAGGAAGTGTGCTATCTTATCCTTAGTGATTAGGGATAAGCTTGGAATCATCCAGGCTCTACCCCTTACTAGCTGTGTGACTTTGGACAAATTCCTTTATCTCCCTGAGTTTTTGTTTCCTCAGTTATAAAATGGGATTAGTAAAGTACCTATCATGAAATAGTTAACTTGAGTAAAATAGGTTGTGAAGATTAAATGAATTAATACACATAAAATAATTAGGTTATGTTACGCCAATGTTCAGAGCAGATGTATCCGCAAGAGCCAAAAGAGAAACAACCCAAATTTCCATTGATGGACAAACGGAGAAGCCTAGTGCAGTGTAGGAAGAAAATTCTGGCCCGTACTGTAACACAGATGAACTTTCAAGACATTATGCTAAGGAAAATAAGCTAGACACAAAAGGACAACTACTACGTTATTCATTTATATGAGGTACCTAGAGTAGTCAAATTCATAGAGACAAGAAATAGAATAGTTGTTGCCAGGGGCTGGTAATGGAGGTTATTGTTAGTGGGTTCAGCGTTTTCATTTGGGAAGGTGAAAGAGCTCTAGAGATGGATGGTAGTGATGGTTGCACAACGTGAATGTACTTAATGCTACTGAACTTTACATATAAAACAGTTCAAATGGTAAATTTCATGTGTATTACCATAATTAAAAAATTAGTATATGATCTGATCCAAAGTAGCTAAAATCTACTGAGTGCTGCTGAAGCAAAAATTATAATTAGTAGATTTTTTTTATTTGTTTTGTTTTGTTTTGGTTTTTGAGATGGAGCCTCACCCTGTCACCCAGGCTGGAGTGCAGTGACATGATCTCAGCTGACTGCAACCTCCGCTTCCTGGGTTCAAGTGATTCTCCTGCCTCAGCCTTCTGAGTAACTGGGATTACAGGTGCGCGCCACCACGCCTGGCTAATTTTTTGTATTTTTAGTAGAGTCGAGGTTTCACCATGTTGGCCAGGCTCAACTCCTGACCTCATGATCCGCCTCGGCCTCCCAAAGTGCTGGGATTACAGGCCTGAGCCACCGCGCCCGGCAATTAGTAGTATCAACAGTGGGAGTAAAAGTGGCAGTTAAGCACATTGTTTCACAACATCTAGCTCAGAGCCATGACAAAGCAAACATTAAATAATATGTATAGATGGAATTAAACTTAAGCTTCTGTAGTAGAATAATTCAGAATAAAACATGAAATAATGCCAGGTAATGTCAGTTGTTACCAAAGAAATGTCCAAACTCTGAAAGAGCTTGTTAAATTAGGTTATGGCAGCCCACGGTGCAGGGGAGGGGACCGTCAGGTGATGTTTAAGTAGTTTACATGGACTGAATCCCCTATGGTTCCATTTAAATTGGCCACCGCACTGCCAGGCATATGACATTGGCAACTTAAACTCGACAGAGAAACCTCTAAGAATAAGATTAATGCATTTCTCATTCTCTGTGTCACAATTATTCAATTTAAAAAAAACAGGAAAATATCAAAAATCTTTTTATGAAATGGCTGTACCAGTTTTACCTTCTATAGTATAAATGCAATATGGCTTTTGGTGCATTTAAATTAATTTTATAAGGAGTCGCAATCAGCTGATGAGTAGTTTTAGAATTGTTCCCATAATTGTCAACCTGGAGAGCTCTTCACTATTTTATTCATACTTCACTGAAAACTAAAGTTCAATTTTATGCCTAATTTTATACATAACGTGTTGTAAAACATCACCATTTGGGTGATGTGTGTATATGTGTATTTTCCTTCCAATAGGATATATATGTGTATTTTCTATTTTATAACTAGCTGACACAGGACCATTCTCATAATCCCATTTGATTTTTGTATTTGTCAGTAGATATAACAATCTCCCTTTGGTTCAGATTGAAAAAACGGAAAATGATGATGATGATGATGATGATGATTGTTGACTGTGCTGATAATTCTTTGTATACCATTATTTTAGCTTTAAGCTATTTTAAGTGTGGTCCAGTACAAAAGCTGCTTAAGTCAGATACCCCAGTCTCTATGATGTGATTATTATGTATTACATGCCTGTATCAAAATATCTCATGTACCCTATAAATACATACAACTACTACATACCCACAAAAATTAAAAATTAAAAAGGAAAATAAACCAGAAAAAAGTCAGATTTTTAAAAAATTTTACATTTCATTATATTTAGAAAACTTAGCTTTATGGGGTTTTAGAGAACATGGTTTTTCTTCCATGTACCTTCCTATTTATTTTTTATGATGCTCAAAGTTGCTTAGTTTCCACATATTTTAGTAAGAATTAGCAATGCCCTGAATTCCATAGCTTTCATAAAGAATTACCTGTGTACCATCTCATCACCACCTCTTTCCTATTACAGGAAAGCAATAAGAAGATATTCTTTAGTTAATTTAGATTGCTTGCCAAAATAGTTTTAAACTGATTTGTAATTTTTCCTAAAACAGAATGAGGAATTGTATAAAGTATTAATATATATGAAATTGTCACACTGCGTTTCAGATGCTTAGGAAATGTAGAGAAATTATTGTAAAATACATTTTAGAAAAGATATTGCAACAAGACGAGGACAGAAGTCTGTGAAGTGTTGTGAGGAGGGCCCAGGGAAGCAGGAGGAAGGTGGGGAGACCACAGGATGACCTGGAGCCAAAGAAGAAGGGCCCAGGTCCCAGGGTCTCTACAGCACTGCCGGCCTTCCAGCCACAGTTTTTCTCAATCTTCCTGTCATATCCCTGAAGGAAGTAAGTGGACATTGTAAAGAGCGAGTAATTATAGCACAGCAAAAATCAAAAGTCATGATTCTGGAAAGCATTATCAGTAAAAAATGGAGAAATAGTTGACATCTCTTCATGTTTCCTCTGGAAATTTCTGATTATGTATGTATACTCTTCCACTCTAATATCCAAACAACTCTCTTACTTCTTTATGCAAAGAAACATGAAAGAATGAAAAGGTTCATCACAAGTGTATGATTAATTTTGTATATATAATTTTGCAAATTAATAGATTTTAATGTGTTCAATAAATCTACATAAATACACAACACATATGTATATATCTGTGTGTGTGTATGTACTGTGTACTAAATATATACTATATGTGTGTGTGTGTGTGTGTGTGTATATATATATATATTTAGAGAGAGTCAGTGTGTACTTAATAGTCAAATCCAAATTTCAAGAACTTTATATTTTATATAATGGCACCAGTTTTCCTGAAGCTGAATGTATGTGTGTGTGTGTGTGTGTGTGTGTGTGTGTGTGTGTGTATTCAGTTGCAGGAATATATACATATATACGGTCAGTGTGAGTGTGTGTATATATATATATACACACACACACACATATGTCAGTACATACATGGTCAGTGTGTGTGCATATAAGCACACATATATATGTCAGTACATATACACATATACATATATGTTAGTATATACTGACTGTATACTGACTATATATAGTCATAGTCATATATACTGACTATAGTCATAGTCATATACTGACTATATGTGTCAGTATATACATACATATATATTTCAGTATATATATGTATGTATACTGACATATAGGTATAGTCAGATTGTGTATATTCAGCTGCAGGAAAATTGGTGCCATTATATAAAATATGAAATTCTTGAAATTTGGATTTGACTATTAAACCTGACTTTGTTGTCATTAAGTTTACATTGATATTTCCTGGAATTGCACATTGCTAAATTTTTCTGCAAAACCAAGATTTCTAAAATATGATGGGGCATTTGATACAAGAAAAGGCAAATAAAGAAAAAGTAGAGCTCCATTTGTCATTCTTCTTAAGTGTCTCCTTAAGAAAACTATGTGATCCAAAGTTATTTAGACAAAAGCTTAAGAAATAAAACACTTAGTAACTCATGCTAGTACTTGATTGTTCTTTTGCTTATCAAGTTTTCTTCTTTTTATGATTATTATACCTTTAATTGCGAACATTCATTGGATTGGCTCAGTAGCATTTTATGTGAGACAACTTTCCATTTTAATAAGTACATATTCTCCTTCGTTAATGTGAAATAGAAGTGCAGGAGTAGGGATGAAATGGATAATTTTGCTAGAAGCAAATTGAAACTGGCTAGGCAAAAGCGTATATGTATTTTGCCCTCTTTTTCTGTTTTTAGAAAGTGCTTGCGTTAACTCTCATTCTCAGCCAGAAGCGTTAATGATTCAAACGGGCTTTATATATTGAAAACCATGAACTCTCACGTGCAGAGTACAATCAGGGAGCAAGCCCGTGGGTTTGAATGGAAATTAACGTTGGTGTATGGGAATGAATTTCGTAGACAAGGATAATTTAGAAACCTGTGTGCTAAACTGCAAACACAGAGCAAATGGAAACATACTGGATCTTTTCCCTCCACTCCTCGAATTTCTCCACTATTCAGATGTCCTTCCATGTGATCATGCTTTCTTGGCACACTGACTAGGTTCAGTGATTAAGAGGCAGAGAAAATAATTACTGAATATTTTTAATACAAAATGAATAGCTCAGGATATTTGTAAGGGCTTTTCAATATCAAGATATTTATTTCCCACATTAGGAAGTATAACTCCTAATGAAAACTTAGCACCATAGTTTAAAATCATATTAATAAATAAAAGCAAAATTCTTACATTGGGGAAATGACCCACAAATGGTTTGTTATAGTATGCGATCTTTAACTACTTGGAATTTCCACTATTCTGCACAGTGCAATATCCCAAAACAGAATAGGATGTGAGATTTCATTGTTTTGTATGAGGAATCTAGAGGAAAGAAATTGATAAAAATGTATGCAATAATTTAAAAATATAAAGAGTATCAATCTCTGATAGAATAATGTAAATGTAGCAAATATTTAAGATAACTAATCTAATAAGAATTAAATTCCCCTACATTTTTCTTCTCCCCTCCCCTCCCCTCCCTTTTCCCCTTCTTTCCCCTTCTTTCTCCTTTCCCCCTTTCACCCTTTTTCCCTTTCCCTTTCCCTGAACAGCTGGGATTACCCTTGTCCCAAGTAGCTGAGATTACAAGCACCCACCACCAGGCCCGGCTGATTTTTATATCTTCTGGTACAAATGGGGTTTCACCATGTTTACCAGGCTGGTCTCCAACTCCTGGCCTCAGGGGATTCGCCCACCTTGGCCTTCCAAAGTGCTGGGATTACAGGTGTGAGCCACCACGCCTGGTCCTCATTTTTCATAAAATCAAAATTCTTGCGTATTCCCCTCCTTAGCTTATAGGTCAGAAGCTACACTAAGCTTCCCAATGTGCCTAGGTGTTAGATGTGCCAATTTACATATACAACAAAGGACCTGAAAAGTAGAACATTAATACAACAGAAAATATTTTGCCTGAGGATATTGTTTACTAAATTTTTTATCTGTGCCTTTTAATAGTTCTTAGAACTAGTAAGTCCAATGGCATTCTATTTTTATGCTTTTTTCCCTCAGATTTGTAGCATATGACAATGTGAATATGTTACAAATGTTGAATGATTTAGCTGACTACAGGCCAAACAAAATAGCATCAAGTTATCTATAGCAAAATGTGTTTCGGTTGAAGAAATATGTAGATTTTAAAGAAATTAATCTTATTTACTTACGCAAAGAGTATGCTTCAGCAGCATATGTAACTTTAATTAAAATTCATCTAAAATAGGTTGTTAGTACTAAGGAAGTGGCATTCAAACAAACAAAATATTCATAAGGATGTTAATATAGATTAGACATGAGAACAAATATTTGGCTGGTCTGATTCTCTTGGGTCACTTTAAAAATTATTTTTAAAATTTTTGAAATCGAGGCATAACTTAAAATACAATTAAATGCATAAAGTGTGCCATTTGGTTAATATTTACAGATGTATATGCCTGTATTACCAGAGCCCAGATCAAGTTACAGATCATTTCATCACCCCCTTACCATTTGTTAATACTTTTTATTGATTATCTAGGCACCTCCTACCTATCACTGTTCTACTTTCTGTCATATTATTTAGGTTGGCTTGTGCTTTTGAACTTACAAAAAGTCATACAGTACCAGAATCATACAGAAGCTTTTGTATCCAGCTCCCTTTAGTGAGCATAAGGTTTCTGAGATCCATCCATGTTGTTGCGTGGATTTGTGGCACATTTCCTTCTATTGCTGAGTAGATTTCAATTGTGCTGTTTGTTTATCCATTCTTTTTAAAATGGACACTTGTGGCTTGTTTCCAGTATGGATCTATTATGAATAAATTTCTACAAACATTCTTTTACATCGCTTTTGGGAGTGGAATTTCAGTATGTGAAACTCTAAAGAAACTGTCAAACTATTTTCAAAAGCCCTTGAACATGTTATACTCCCATTGGCAATGTGTGTCAATTCCAGTTGCTTCTTATCCTGGTCAACATTTGGTATTAAAATCATTAACCATTGGAGAAATATAAGTTAATATCATAGAGAGATAATATGTTCTCTAGGATGGCTAAAATTAAAGAATGACAACACCTGTGAACTATATTACTCATGGCACCACAAACAACAACATGAGTTTCAGCATATTTGTATCTGTCTCCTTTGCCCCTGAGGCCCACAGTGGCAATGCAATAGGGCACGTATGAATATTACACTCATAGCAGACTTGTATTGCAGCTGAGAAATAATGAGCTGGGGGAATCTACTGCAGTTATAGCAAGTAGTAAGTGAGAAGGCTTTTTGTGTGGAAGAAAATGTAACCTCACCTCTCAAGGTTAACCAGCTGCATAAACAACCATGAAAAAAGGGTCCATAAAAGAGTTTTTAGGCCTTTGTAGTCTTAGCAGACCCAACAAAACATGTAGGAGTGCAAGCTGCTTAAAGTGGACTGTCTCTCCATACATGATTGTGTATGGATAACATGATCCTATATGGAGATCTTCTAAGAAATCTAGAAATCTAAAAGACACCAACTAATAAGTGAATTTTAGCAAGTTAACAGGATACAAGGTTAATATACAAAAATCAGTTCTTTTTTATGTAGTAGTAACGATCTGATTATCAAATTAAGAAAAGAATTTCATTCACAATAGCATTAAAAAATAAAATACTTAAATGTAGATCTTACGAAAGGTGTGCAGGACCTGTTCATGGAACACTATAAAACATAGCTATTAGAAAATAAAGAAGACTCAAATAAATTGAGAGACACACTATGTTTATAGATTGGAAGAAACTGGAATTGTCCTAATTGTAATAATCCTAATTGTCATACTTTGTTGGTGGGAATGTAAATGGTGCCACCACCTTGGAGAATAGTTTGGCAGTTTCTTAAAAAGTAAAAGCATGTACTTACCATATAAACCAGCAATTCCACTCCAAAAAATATATGTTCACTCTAAGACTTAAATGTTCATAGCGGCTGGGCACAGTGGCTCACACCTGTAATGCCGCCAGTTTGAGAGGGCGAGGTGGATGGATTATTTGAGGTCAGGAGTTCGAGACCAGCCTGGCCAACATGGCGAAACCCCGTGTCCACTAAAAATACAAAAATTAGCTGGACGTGGTGGTGCACGCCAGGAATCCCAGCTACTCGGGTAGCTCAGGCAGGAGAATCGCTTGAACCTGGGAGGTGGAGGTTGCAGTGAGCTGAGATTGCATTGAATCTTGGCCTGGGCAACAGAGCGAGACTCTGCCTGTTGTAAAATGTAAAAAAAAATGTAAAAAAAAAAAGTAAATGCAAAAATGTAAAAAATGTAAAAAAAATTTATATATATATATATATATTCATAGCAACATTATTCATAGTAGATGATATGGTTTGGCTGTGTCCCCACTCAGATCTCATCTTGAATTGTAGCTCTCGTAATTCCTAGGTGTTGTGGGAGGGACCCAGTGGGAGATAACTGAATCATGGGGGCGGTTCCCCCATACTGTTCTCGTAGTTGAGAATCAATCTCACAAGGTCTGATGGTTTTATAAGGGGGAACCCCTTTTGCTTGATAGTCATTCTGTCTTGTTTGCTGCCACGTAAAATATGCTTTTCGCCTTCTGCCATGATTGTGAGGCCTCCTCAGCCACATGGAAATGTGAATCCATTAAACCTTTTTTCTTTATGAATTACCCAGTCTCAGATATGTCTTCATCAGCAGTGTGAAAATGGACTAATACAGTAGACAAAAACTGGAAACAACTCAAATGTCCATCAGCCACTGAATGGATAACCACAATGTGGCATATTCATTGAACTGGTTGCTATTTAGTAATAAAATTAAAGCTACCGATAGGCCATGATTTCTTTATGTACTTAATTGTTCCTTAATGTTACCAATTACTCTTAATGAAGAATGCCGTCCCACTCCTCTCTAGGATTTTCGCATCGCTCTCTTACAGTTTGCATTCTTCCTTCTAAAAATGTTGTCCTTTCACTTTTTTCCTGTTCAAAAAAATCCAGTGATAACATGTGACAGCTCAACTGTCATGCAGTTCTTGGCAAGAAAGGTGAGGTTGAATAGGAAACTTCCTATTTACCAGAGGCAACTGGAATCACTCAAGAATAAAGGGACACTGTATTCACCATCATATTGCCAGCTTCTGCTCCGGAGAGATGAAGTACATGTCTTTAATATATTCTTCCTGATAAGTACATTTTAAAAGGCACTTTATATATAAAATAAACATAAGAATGAAAAATTGTAGGGAAGACAGACCATCTAGGAACCTGAGGAATTGAGGAAATTATAGAGATAGAAAACAAATTAGTGGTTGCTATGTATAACTGTAAAGGGTACCAATGAGGAGGATTGTTGTGGTAGTGAAGTCGTTCTCTTTCTTGATTGTGGTGGGGGTTACGGACCCTAAACGTGTCATACAACTACATAGACACATCGTTTCCTGGTTTTGATATTGTACTGTAATTTTATAAGATGTAACCATTGGTAGAAACTAGGTGAAGAGTACACATCACTTCTCTGTACTATCTTTGCCAATTGATGTGAAGCTATATTTCAAAATAATTTTTTTCTTAAATAACATTTAATTTCTGACTGGCAGTTTAATTTGTGCTTCAAAACGGATTCAAAAGGACTATGACCAATGATGAAAATGGTAAATTACAACAGTTGGTCCTATAACCAACTCTCCTACATTAGTTATTAAAGTCAGTGTTAACGGAGGCATTCCAGAACTTCTGTAGGACATGGTGCAGATTCACCTATTTTCTTTCACATTAATTTTTGCCAACTGGATTTTTTTAGGTTGTCATATTTTTTCCAAAGAATTCAGTGGGACAAACTTTAGCAGAATTCTGACGCCCCACATTGTACCCGATGTGTGCTTGCCTCTAAAAAAATTTCTCTGTTAATAGCAACTTAAAATAAACATTATTGTAATGTTTAGAGGACATTCCTTTTGCATCATATTTTGATAGTGTCCTATTACATGCAATAACAAATGCATGTCTCTTTTCATACGAGGCTTTCACAGCAATTTCATAAACTATAATTAGTTTAACTACATAATATCCTTAGGAAAAATGTAAATATTACCATCTCTTTTTTTTTTAGGGGGTGGGCTAGGGGATTTTGGTTGACTGAGCAATCAATCACATACAGATGGATAATTTGGTATTCACTAAAATATTCACTTCTCAGCATTTCACTCTCGTGTTTCCTTGCATGATATCAATTGTCATTTAATAAGAAAGACAAATACACGTGTTTAATCACTCCCTGAAGAAAGTAAACACACTATCTGTGGGAAATGGAACACAATGAGAGGCGTGCAGTCAGCCTCAGGGTGCCCTGACTCCATTCCAGCCCTCTCCTCATATGCCCCGTTTGCACATCACCCATCACTTTTGCCTAATTGTTTCTACTCACCAAGTGAAGATAATGGCTTCTTTGCCTGCTCAAGTGATAATTTGAGATTATATGTCTCATCAGATAATTTATTGGATGTATGAAAAAATGCACAATGATGGTTTTATTGAATTATGCAGTTAGTTACCAAGATGAATGGAACTACACCTACCCAAAAATCAAGATGTGGTGGAGATAACGGAGGTTATAGGCTGAGTCATTTAACCTTTAGGGCTCTTTCTGATGTTTTCTGTGAGGGCCAAATAGAGTTCTCAGTGGAGTGCATGTGAGTTTCTGCCAATGGCCAGTGGAGCAAGTGCCTGCAAGAGGGAACACTCCCCCAACTTCTGGGGTGATAAAGGATTTCTCACTGTCCCACCAGCCTGCACAGTAGGTTTCACCATTTTGTTAACTATTCCAGCTGAACTTTTCTTACTGACCTCTGGTTTCATCTATGTAAGGTGAGATCCTGCTCACATCTCTCCCTGTGAGGTTCATATCTCTTTAGATTTTAGGCTAGGTGGTGGTTCTGCAAGCTCAACTCTCCAATGCATTTGTAAAAGATCATGAACTTGAAGTTGGTTGTAAGGGTGGAAATGAGGCTCCTTATAGCTTTCTACTTCCTGGGGCAGAAGCCAGAAGTTCCAGCCCATAGATTTTGATAAGTTGTATTTTCATTTTCATTCAGCTTGAAATACTTGCTAATTTCCCTTTTAGTTTCTTCTTTGATTCATTGATTATGAAGTATGTGTTATTAGTTTCCTAATATTCCTGGATTTTTCAGAGAAGTTGCTATTGTTGATTTCTTATTTTAATCTATTGTATATCACAAAGATATACTTTACATGACTTAAATGATTTTAACTTTGTTGAAACTTGTTTAATGACTCGTTTAATGGTCTATTTTGGTAAAAGTTCCAAATGAACTTGAAAAAGAATACATGTTCTTCTGTTAGGTGAAACATTCCATAAATATCAATGAATCATATAGGTTGATAGTGATAATTAATACTTCTGAATCCCTATTTTCTGTCTTCTTGTGCAATCAGTTACCGAGACGGGGTGCTAGAATCTCCTACTGTCATTGTGGATTTATCTATTTCATTCAGTTTTACTAGGTTTCATTTCATGTATTTTGAAGCTCTGTTATTAAGTGTTTGCATGTTTAGGATTATGTCCTATGATGAAAGAACATCTTAATCATTACGAAATAATTTTCTTTACCTTTTATAATAATTTTTGCACTGAAATCTACTTTAATATAGCCAATCCAGCTTTTTAAAAAACTATTATTGGCATAATATATATTTTTCCATGTGTTTACACTTAGGCTATTTGAGCCTTTTTTATTTAAAGTGTGTTTCTTGTAGGCAACATATAGTTGGATCTTGCTTTCTCATCTAATCTGACCATCATTGCCATTTAATAGGAGTGTTTGTACTACTTGCCTTTAATATGATTATATGATTAATTTTAAGTCTAACATCTACTATTTGTTTTTTGTTTATTCTTTGTCCATTTTCAAAGCTACTAGGGAGTGTAGATGCATTTTGTAAGAGAATACATTTTATAAATTGTTATATACACTCTGAGATTTTAACCATAATTGCAGTACTTTTTTTATGAACACATTTTTAGTAGGCTGAATATTCTTTCTGCTTCAACCTGCTAAGATTGAAGGAATTACTGCTGAAATAGAACATGTACACAAAGACAGATTCTGAGGGAGGGTTTCTGTATTTTTTACTTTAAAACAGCATAGTTGAAAAAGACTGTAGTACCTGATTCTATATCTGTGTAGTTAGCCCTTTTTTTTCTAAATGAAATTAGATCTCAGGTAAATGTTTAAATTACCCTCAGCAAAAAGGCAGACCTACTGACAAAAAGCATGGCTGTTTAAAGCCTATAAATCTCAGAAGTGGAATGAGGGAGTTGATTTAAAGCCAGCTTCACTCCTCTTCCCTATAAATTACATATAATCACACTGGAGTGTAGGAGCTGTGACAGTCCCTACCTCACATCTCACTTCCCACCTCCTGCTCACCCCAGGGAATACCTGAAATTTTTAATGTGAATTAAAATGCAATTAGATGAGGAAAGAAACAAATATATCTGGATAAAATCACATTTGAAACAATTTGTTATCTTAGTGGGAAGTGTCTCGTGGGGACAAGGTTGACTTAACTGTGTGTTTGCTTG
The DNA here is from genome assembly GCF_000001405.40 of Homo sapiens. Classification (NCBI taxonomy): domain Eukaryota; kingdom Metazoa; phylum Chordata; class Mammalia; order Primates; family Hominidae; genus Homo; species Homo sapiens. The sequence continues at coordinate 61,374,805 of NC_000009.12, forward strand.
GTATACAGAAGTCCCTAATAGTGGCTGGCTTTGAACATTTACTTTGTTTACTTATATTTTGTGCCCTCAACATCAAATTTAGTTAAGGAAGGTATAAGATTATGGTGATATGATGATAATTGTAATGATGATGATGATGATTTACCTGTGCATTATTTCCCCTGTAAACAAAGTCAATACATACTCTGTGACAGTGCTGTCACTTATGACTAGATACTATAGTCATGGGAAGTTTTATTGTTGTTAGTCAGAAATAATTAAGGCTCCAGCTGTAGGGTTTCTACTTTTCTTTCACAGAGCCCCCTGCCCCAGATAGTGAAATGTAACTTTGACCTGATGTAAGTGCAGAATTATAACAAACAGATATAACTGTACAAAATAGAGACATAATCATGCCAGATTATTCATAACCAAAAAGTACTAAGTGATTGACAAATCATGTGAATATATTCATGGACAGGGATAAAAATGAAACATAAGCTGATTTTAAAAATAATATCTTTCCATGTGTTTTAATTAGTGATTTTATTTTCTCATCTGTAAGGTAGATACGATAAAGACAACCCACTGAATGCTTTTAGAAATAAAAAATGATAATATGCTTGAAAATATCTGGTCGAATTCTCAGCATACAATATATGCTTCAGAGTTTCTCACTTCCCCCTTTTCCCTTGTTTTCCATTACAAAATAAGTGGCAAAACTTTAATAATTTCCTCAGAACTTGAAAACTTAAAAGTGGATAAAACGGTTCATAAGATAAATCCTATGTTGTGTGAACATTTAGGGACAAAACAGTTAGCGCAGCTCAGCATCTTCACTGTGGTACCAATATCAACCTTTATAAAAACGAATTACCCTTTAAAAAATAACATCTGCTGTTCCTCAAGCCATATAAAGTGTAAGAGAAAGTTTCAGTTGCTCAGCATATTTTAATCTCATTCCAGTAATGGAACATGTGTGTCAGAACATATATTATGAATGGAGGGGATGAGTTTTCATAATTCATAGGATCTGTGGGGTAGAATTGTGACACTTTATTTAACTCAGGTGCAATGTCTTGTCAGAGGCAGGGGGAGGAGGGTGAAGTGGAGAAGAAACATTTGTTATGGGGGAGAGGCTGAGCTTAGAGGACATAACTGCTTCCCCTGTTTTGTGTACAAAGTTTTGTTGACCATAGACTAGAAGGGACTATGAAAAGACACTTCCAGGTTGAAAAGTAGTCAGCACATGTATAATCTTGACTTAACAAATAGAAGACTTTCATTTGTTTTAATTTAAAGACAACAAAAATTGAGTATAACATCACATTTGAATAATAATTTAGTTACAAAGTGCTGTAGTTTCAGTTATCCCATTGTCTTCCTTACAGTCTTGTGACGTGATTTATATGACTGTTAATCCCCCCACTCCCAACTTTATGCTTTTCTTTTTTAAACAAAGGACAACATTTTTGTCTCAGAGAGGCTGAGTGACTGGACAATTACTACACTCTAGTTGGGGGTGGAGTCAGCCAACCTCCTTTCTCTTTCTGTTACCCATAGTGGCCTTCTATACCAACCATCAAAGCTGCCTTTAACAAAGGCACACAGACTAGTGCTATCCAGCAGTGCACAGGTCAGTCACGCTGTGTTTCCCACCATTTCCACTCAGCGTTTAATTAAATTGTGTGCACAGCAGCTTACCCTTAAAACGCATCTGGGATTGCAGATTTCCTGAGGCTACAACATCCTGATGAAATTCTTTGGTAATGCCAGAATTTCATTACTTTATCAGTAATGGCTGAAAATATAGCTTATTTGCATTTGAGTACTACTTCATCAAAGGTAAAATGAAGTCACTGAAATGTGTCATCTGTTACCAGGAGTGCAACCATGAACACCAACAAACTAACAAACTGTGAGGGATGCCGAGAAGAGGGATGGCCAGCGGCTCCCTCTTCATCTGATGAAAACACACCACCCCAGGGTAGCACACCAGAACCGTGTCAACTCATTTTCCTCCTTGTGCTTCTCCACATGTGTTCTCATAGTAATTACTTTTCTAAACCTGGAATGAGAGGGAGTGAAAACACCAAAGAAAGGTTATGAAATACAAGCTGAAGAGGATGCCCTTAACTAAGATGAGGGGAAGAACCAAAAATATTGAATAGTTCCTCAGAAGTTTCAGCTCTGTGTATAAAATTCCCAATGTACAACATCCAGCCTAAGATGATGGGTTGGCTGTTAGCATCTCCCTCACCTTCTCCCAACTCTTTTAAAACAGCCATAAAATAGGCTGGGCCCAGTGGCTCGTGCCTGTAATCCCAGCACTTTGGGAGGCCGAGATGGGCAAATCACTAGGTCAGGAGACCGAGACCATCCTGGCCAACATGGTGAAACCCCTCTCTACTAAAAATACAAAAATTAGCTGGGCGTGGTGGCACGTACCTGTAATCCCGGCTACTTGGGTGGCTGAGGCAGGAGAATTGCTTGAACCAGGGAGTTGGAGGTTGCAGTGAGCAGAGATCTCGCCACTGCACTCCAGGCTGGTGACAGAGTGAGACTCCATCTCAAAACAAACAAACAAACAAAAAAAACAACAAAAAAAACCCCCATAAAATAGTAATAAGAAAAACAGAAAAGGATACACAGTTTCATTAGTGTTGTACCTAGGACTATTGGTTGCTAGTTAGACCAACCCCAAAAGGATCTCCCACCAATTAAAGTTTACATAGGCTTAGGAGAGAAGAGTAGATCTGGTGGAGTCAACAGGAAGGGCCAGTAGAGAAAAACCCATTGGCACTGCACCCTCAGCTTTCCGAAACCCAGACCTTGCCTGACCAGGAGTAGGAGAGGTTGCCCTGCTGTATGGGGGCTGCTGCCTTAGGTAGCCAGACCTGCTCACTCCCAAACGTCTTTACATCTTTGTTACATTTATTTGAGAAACACCACATCCCACGATTATCATCAAAATAATATAATAGAAATATTTAATTGCACAGGTTCTGGATCCAAAGCTCATGGGCCCCTTGCTAGATGCGTAAACATAGGTGAGCTGCCCACCATATATGGAGGGTAGTAATGAGGCCTTGTCTTTTAAAGGTATGTTAGGAATTAAATGCAAAATTTATTTAAAGGGAACTCTTTGCCTGACCTAGAGTTCTCAAATGCTCGATAAGTGTTCATTGTTAAATTGAGTGATTATGGAAGTGGGTAGGTGGAATTCTGTTACATCCTGAAAAGTTAAGTTGGAAGGAGGAATGAGCAGAGAGAAGAAACTGTGGAAGTAGTTCCTACTGAGGGCTAAAGAAATCTGTGCACTGTCTCTGGCAGGGGCTCACATAAATATTGCTGTAAATCATCCAAGAATAAATATTGCCCGATCTAGGAAACCATGTTGCATGAGTGGAGGATGCCCCTGGTCTGTAGCAGAACATTTAACTTTGAACAAGAGCTGTGTCCACCTCCTAGCTGTCTGGATTAAGAAAATAAATGGAGTATTTTAGTGTCAATCAGATGCACAGTGTTGGTTACCAATAATTTTCCATCTTGTCTACTAGATCAAATTCCTGACTCTTCAATTCAAAACATGGAACAATAAAAAGCAAAACAAACAAAAATTATATATATGTCTGTGTACATACTATATATATAATATAAACTTTAGAGGTGCTTATCGTACATTCAGAGGAAAAAATATTTTTGAACAAAGATTCACTACAAAAATATCTTAGAATCTGACTTCTAAGAATCTGTAAACTTGGGAATCATAAGGAAACAGTAGTTAAGTGTGGTCATCAATTCAAATAGGTGCCTAATATTTATATTTATTATTTAAGTATGAATTGTTATTATTTAAATATAAATATTTATATTTCTCAACACTTCCCCATAATAACTTATATTAAAGTATAATGTCCTCACTTATTCGTTTTTACACCTAGCTATATTCTAATAATATCAAACTTTTTTGGACATGTAGTGAAGTACTAAAGACTTTACAAATGAGGACATAATGATAAACCCCTAATAATAAAATACACAGTATAAGTCAATGAATAATAATGAACTGTCTAGAACTTCAGACTTTCTATCAGAGCCTTCAGGTAAGTGGCAGCACCAGGGAATAATAAAAGTGTTCTGACTCCTCGGCTTGGGAATTGTTTATAGAGCACTCTCTTTTTCTAGACATTGATTATTAAAGAAGCTGTGGTTTTCGAGTGTCCCCTAATTCTATTAGACTAGAAAAATAACAAACATCAATAAAACATCAGCGGACATGCCTATGTTTTTGTTTCAGATTTGGCATTGGTCAGAGCAAAAAGCAAATTTTCTGCTCTGCACGCATCTTCTTCAATACCCGACAGTCTCCTTTTCCTTGTCCAAGGTGGATGAGCACTGTGTGAGACTTGCCCCAGTTTCCCTGCAGTACTGCCAGAGAGAGCAGAGTGCACCAGAACCTGCTTAGGACTCACCTTGACCATTTGCTACTCCATACCTTTTTGTATTTTTTTACCAATATCTCCTCCACACCCCAGTTCCTCGTAACCATCACTCTCCTCTGTACTTCTGTGAATTCAGCTTTTTAAAATTCCACATGTAAGTGGGATTGCCTCACAAAGCACTCTATGTTTTAACTCTTCTTTTACATCCATTTCTCCTATGAGACTGTAAGCACTTTGAGTGCAAGGTCAATATATTAACCGTCTTTGTTTTATCAGTGCTTAATGCTGTACTTCCTACTACTGGAATTTAGTCTCTTAGGTTGGCAAAGGGCAAATCTTGCACAAGGGCTATGAAATAACACTAGTTCCAAAAGTTGACAGGAATGCTCTAGTGGCCACCTGCATTAAACAAACATTTTCTGCAGTCAGTAGGACACCTGCCTTCTAGAATGTCAGGGGTCATCTAGCTAAATGTGAACACAATTTAGGGTTCATCCAGTCACATGTAATTCTTCTATTTTTTCTATTGTAAATCGATGATTTTCTTAATATATATTCATAATTTTATAGTTTTCTAATCTAGTAACAGCTATGTTTAAATAACTTCCTCCTCTACCATTTTTATACTTTTTCTGTTTCAATAAAGGAGCTGGTGGCTGGACTCCACTTGTGTCAAATAAATACCAATGGCTGCAAATTGACCTTGGAGAGAGAATGGAGGTCACTGCTGTCGCCACCCAAGGAGGATATGGGAGCTCTGACTGGGTGACCAGCTACCTCCTGATGTTCAGTGATGGTGGGAGAAACTGGAAGCAGTATCGCCGAGAAGAAAGCATCTGGGTATGTTTCTAATAATAATAATTGCTACCTATTGCTGCAAACCTATTAGAAAAACAGAATTTTAAGAATTACGTAGAAAAAAATGTTCTAAGTGAAAGTAAGATACCTATTTCATTGAAAGCATTGAAAGACAATCTTATATTATACCATTAAATAGTGTGGAAGTTAAAAAATAATACAAATCATATATAATTTATTTTTTCTGGGTTTGCTTAATAAAGTAATTTAACATTGCCTCTGCATTATTTTAGAGTGGTAGATTGAATTCATTTATTTTCTCTGATTTGATCTGATGTTTTTGAAAGACACTGAAATTTCAAAATGTAATAAATGAGCAGTTTCTGTGTGTATGACAAGCACAGGAACACAGACTTTGAACTTGAAGAATTGTGTGTCCTTTATTAAGCAGCCAGATTTAGTTTTTCTTGTTTTTTTTTTTTTTTTTTTTTTTTAAGAGACAGAGTTTCGCTGTTATCACCCAGGCTAGAGTGCAGTGGCACAATCTTGGCTCACTGCAGCCTCTGCCTCCCAGGTTCAAGCAATTCTTCTGCGTCAGCCTCCTTAGTAGCTGGGACTACAGGCGTGTGCCACCACACTTGGCTAATTTTTTTTTTTTTTTTTTTTTTTTGTATTTTTAGTAGAGACAGGGTTTTGCCATTTTGGCCAGGCTGGTCTCGAACTCCTCACCTCAGGTCATCCACCCATCTTGGCCTCCCAAAGTGCTGGGATTACAGGAGTGAGCCACCGCGCCTGGCCAGATTTAGTTTTTCATAGACTACAGATCTCTGTGACATTCTCTGAATCTGTAAATATCCTCATAACAGTGACATTATTTCTGTTTCTGATTATATGTCAGTGCCTCTTTGCCAGGGTAATCACTTTTTGTTTGACTTTTGCAGCTACTTGGGAGGCTGAGGTAGGAGAATCACTTGAACCCGGGAGGCAGAGATTGCAGTGAGCGGAGATCGCACCATTGCACTCCAGCCTGGGCAAAAAAGAGAGAAACTCTGTCTCAATAATAATAATAATAATAATAATAATAATAATAATAAGTATTTATTACATAGTGTTTGAAAGTAACCTGTATCTGTTTAAAATCTTGCTCTGCATTGATTAATAATGTTTAAAATGTTGTGGACAGTTTCCCTATAAAAGAGATGCTGTAAGAGAAGACTCATATAGAGTCTGCATCGTATTTGTAATTTGGCTCTTTCTTCCTCCTAAAAAAAAATACATCAATGACAGAGGTACCGTCAGCATTTTTGTTATCAAGTTAAGCAGTTCAGAGGGAAACCATAGCCAAGGCAATGCCATTTGCCAATTTTGCTTACTCTGAAAGGTTACTAGCCTGCGGGGAAAGAGCGTAAAGGTTAAGGTTCTTACTAATCCAGAACACTTAAAATGACAGATGTCAACTCTCATGATCTTACCTCGTGTAGGAACGTGTTGAGCTTCACTGGAACAAGTGATTTACTTTCCTGGTGCCCGCTCACAGTGTGAGCTTCCTTTCAAAGTCACTGTGCCTGCCTTTCATCCCTGCATCTCTATTCTGGGTTGACTTGTGGTTTCCCAAAAACATATGTTGGAATCCTAACTCCCAGTACCTCAGAATGTGACCTTAATTGGATATAAGGTTTTTACAGAGGTAATCAAGTTAAAGTGTAGTCAGGAGGGTTGACCCTAATCTAATATGACTGGTGTCCTCATCAAGAAGGACCTTTGGACCCAGAGACAGTTATACACACAGGGAACACAGTGCAAGGACACATAGGGAAGCAGCCCTGTGAGGAGGGAGGATTGGGATAATGCATGGACAAGCCACAGAACACCGGAGGCACCAGCAGCTAGGAGATGGGCATGGAACAGATCCCTCCCTAGAGCCTCCGGAGGCAGCATGGCCGGCAGACACCCTGATCTTGGACGTATGGCCTCCATCACTTTAGCTACCTAGTTTGTGGCACTTTGTTACAGCAGTTCTGGAAAACTAACTCAGCCTCTAAAGCCTAACTGTGCCTAACAGGACTAGGACATGAGGAAATGTTTCCTGAATGAATGAGGGAAATTCATCCTCTCCCAGGATGCCTTTTTTGAACAACCACAATGAAAATGGTCCTTCCTGGCTCTGCAGATCTCTAGGACTTGTTTTGGACTAAAACAATGAAATGTAGTGCTATGAGGGTTCAGGACTCAGCCTTCCATCGTTTTGAGCTAAAAGGTTTTTGGGGATAGGGCTTTATCTTTGCATCTCCTTCATCCTCCATCACTGTGACTGGCAAATTGTAACCATTTAATAGCTTCATTTCCTACTCTATGACCAACTATACAGAATTTGCATGGTGAAAAAAATGTTAATGCTACTGAAGAGAGAACCCACAAAACAAACCAGAGATGGTTCTTGTGAGTGTTCAGTTATAAGACACAGACCCGAAGAGACTTGAGAATGGCAGGCCTTGGAGAAAGCGTTACCTCGTGGGTTGTTGGAAAACAATTCAGGAGGATATTTCAGAAAGCAAAAGTAATGCAAACAAAACCATGGATAATGGATGAGATACACAACAAACAGTGAGCTGTAAGATGTGAAATGGCTGTTCAGACTGAGATGGAGAGAATATGGGGAATTTGCTGAAAGTTGTAAAATTGCAAAGAGAGAGGCTGTCAAGTTTGGATTATAAAATACCTATGTAGATATTTGAGTTTCTTTTTTTTAAAAAAACTTTTACTTTTTGTGAGTGCATAGCAGGTGTACACATTTATGGGATTCATGAGATACTTTGATACAGGCATGCAGTGCATAATAATCACATCATATAAAATGGGATATCCATCCCAAGTATTTATCCTTTGTGTTACAGACAATCCAATTATACACTTTTAGTTACTTTAAAATGTACAATTAAATTATTATTGACTATAGTCACCTTGTTGTGCTATCAAATCCTAGGTCTTATTCATTCTTACTATTTTTTTGTGCCCAATAACTATCCCCATCTCCTCCCCAGCCCCCCACGCCCCTTCCCTGCCACTGGTAACCATCATGATTCGTGTTTCTTGAACTGCTACATCAACATCTCAGGGACATATTCTCCATTTGTTTATTCATTAATCCATTCTTTTAGTAAATAAGCAAATAATTATGGTAGAGGTTAGTAATATACTCTTGGGAAATGTGAGCTGAGTCATAGTTATCATATTCTTCACTAGGCATGTCCCTTGTGTCTAGTATTTTTCCTATCAAAGCTACTTCTGTAGAAATAAATTTCACTGACTGTCTCCTATTTATCATTTTCTTAAAAAGATGGGCTGATATTGACTGTCCTCCAGTCTTATCATTGCTGCCTTAACAATAAATTACATCTCTTATTAGAGTTTCTGCCCTTTACCAAGGCATTAATTTTAGAAATGAATGGATGATATTAAAATAACTTAAGATTTATTTTTGATACCTAAAATATTAACACTCTTGATTAATGAAAATTATGTTTTTATAGGCTTATTATCTTTCCCAGCACATTATTATCTTTATTATTATTATCTTTTCCTGACCACAGCTACATCCCCTGCCCTCAGGGTCATCGTATTAACCTTCCTGTACCAGGAGAACAGAATGCATTTCCAGCTCTCTCCTAGGGATCCTGCTGCCTCTACTTTTATGTTAAGGACACGTTAAAAATGCATTCTCCAGTCTTATATATTTCTTGTATGCTCTCCCTCTGTCTTTTTATGGCTTTGTTTTTTTTGGTCTGGTTTTACCCATTACCTATGCTAATGTTTTCTATTATTAAAGATCCACAGTTGCTTATCTGCAATTTTTAATTCTAAAAGCAAAATTCTTAAAATGGTGAACCCTAAGCAGACCCAAATTTATTTAGCAGCAAAATCTGAATGTACTGACTTTGCGGCTATTTGCATTTTTTACTTACTCTGCTTAATGTGAATATTCATATGTTTTATTGCAAAAATAGTAACATATGTGATTACCACCTAGTCACTCATATTTGGTGTATACACAGTATGACCTTTCTAATATATGAAATGAATCTGAATCTAAAGCAAATCTGATACCAAGGCTTTAGATAAGAGATTGTACAGCTGTCATATCAATCACTGACATTTGATTATCTGAATGGATTAATATATCAATCCACATTCTTACTAATTACATGCTTCACATTGACGCTTCAAGGGCTAGACTGAGTTTGTGTTGAGAAATACCCAAGAAAACTAGATGTAACTGCCAGATTTATGGAATCTTCAGAGTAGTAAAAGCTCCGTTGAAAAGAGAGAATCCCTGTTACTTACAACAGGAATACATGAATCTTTTCTGAGTAACAGAACAAGCTTCATTATGTATTATACTTTCAGTTAACAAAATGTGTTTCAGGACACAGACTCACTTGAGGTGAATAATCTCCTCATCTGCTACATCATTTTAAAAGGTGCCATTACTCAAACAAGGTCAAAAGAATAAACAACAGAAGAGGGAAGATAAAAGATAATTTTCTGGGATAATCATGTGTGTGTGTATATATATATATATACATATATATAGTAGTAGTAATAGGAATGGCCTTAAAAAGCCACATGGCCTAATAAGAACAAATGTTCTGAATCAGAAAGAGAGAAAAGATATTTAGAAATCCACCTAACCATGTCCTGGAATCATGCTGAGAGATTATACCATAACATTCTATTAACCATAGTCCCAGATTAGCAATCACTGACAAGCCATTTTCCCTCATGTCTATTTTTCACTTATTTCTGAAAGAATAAAGAATTAAATCTGCAAGGAAATATAGAACTTTTTAATTCATTGTGAAATTTTCTTCTGGTTGGAATTAGATATATTCAGGATATTATCCATCCCTGACATAGGTTTCAAGTTCCCCTCTGAGCACCAGACTCCATTTCCTTTCGGATGTCAAATAGTCACGTCCAAAACTAAGTTTATTATCTCCATATCCTTCCCATCACCAAACCCTATTGCCCCTGGGCTTCCACCTCTCAGTAAATATCACAGCATTTACCAGTTGTTGGCTTGAGCCAATATGCGTGGAGTTACCAATGACTTCCATTCCTTCACACTCCACGATCAATCCATAGGCATATCCTGTCAACTCAGTCGTTAGACAGATCATGTCAGTCACAGCTTCAGAGTATATGTGGAGTCTGACAACTTTCCCTCACCTCTGTTATTACCATGACAGCCCAGTTGCCCACCATCTCTTACCTGGACCATTGTCACAGCTTCACATCCCATCTTGCTTCTGCCTTTGCAACTGGCTTCCAATTTAAATCTATAGAATTTTATTTTCTTTAATTCTTGCTGTAAATTGCCACATATTTTATGCACCATATGAATGTAGTCATTTTCAATAAAGAACTGACCTTATTTAGATAAAAAGAAATAAGCAACTTCGACCGTATTCTCTGCTTATCTGTGGCTTCAAATATTTTGTGCTATGTTGTTCTTCTAGCTGCTCTTTAAAAATGTCAAGCAAGATCCATCTTTGTACTAGCTATTCAGTATCTCTGAAATTTTCCCCTATAGCATAGATAGCTTCCTCAATTCGTTTCTTGGGTAAATTATCTCTTCCTGATAGAATTCTTCTAGATAACCTAACCCCTAATGTGCACAGAACACACACACGCAGACACGCACGCACACAGCTCCCACTGCCCTCCCCACCCCACCCGCCTCCAGCCTGTGTCTTCCCTGGTTTTGTGTTTCCTTATGGAAGTCGTTATTTCTTGTTCCCATGTATGGAATTTTGTTTTTTCCCTGTCTGTCTCTATTCACTAGGAAGATTTTATGCAAAGAAAGAAAATGTTCTCTGAATAATATTATTGGACTTTGTTTTTTAAAACTTTCTGACAAAGAACATACAATTTGCTATAACTGAATTCTTGTTTCACTGGTCTTTATCAGTGTTGAGAATTTTTGAGATCCAAAATGTAGAACCGCTCTAACTGGGAAATCTAAAAAAGTGTCCACCAGCTGTCATGGGACGTTTTTGGGGCAGTGGACAAAGTGCATTAGTAGATCTCCCATGGCCTGTGTGTATTTGTTCCTAATTGTTATCTTTATTTTCCGGGCCTGACTGGAGCAAATGTGAGTGGAACTAATGGAGGAGGCAGAAGGAAGGTCAGAGGTTGGAGATCTGCCCATCAGCACTGAGCCCAGAGGCAGCAGCTGTCTGGACTGACTCGGTACCTGCTATGAGAGAGCAGGAAAGGATGGCAGACACTGCAGTTAGCACAGAGACAGAAACATTCTCAGTCTGAGTGTGTGTTACATGCCAGACACACAGTTGGTCGACAGTAGGGAAAAGGGAGGCTGAGGGTGTGGCTGGGTAGCTACCAAGCCGTGAGCCAGTGGTGGGCAGCGACACAGTGAGTCAGAGGAAGAGCAGGTCTGCAGGACACGTCAGCCCTGCTGCCAGGTGTGGTGTCATTCCAAACAGCTGCACCTGTGGGTCCAGAGGTGGTCAGCGGATATCTAGTTTCAGTCGGCCTTCATTCTGCCTCTGGCTGTCATGGCCACTGGGTTACTGAAATCATGGCTTGTTTCCTTCTGTATCTCTCCATCTTCATGTACAGCTTCCCTTTATCCAACACGAAGTCAGGCAGATTGTCCTTGTAAGGCAAACTAAACATTAGCAGAGGCAAGTACACACACACAACACTCAGGAAGTTAGAGAACATTCTTTAGTCGCTTGAAGCAAAAGGGCTTTTCCTGGCTAGGAAGCAAAAAGAAAACATTGTTTCTAAACTTGAAGCTAATGCCATCTACCATTTATGAAGAGCTCTTTGTGCATAAGGCTGTGTGCTCTGGGTTTCCAGCACTCCCACATTTAATTCTTGCACAATTCCTGTAAGGGTTACAGTTTCCAAGAAGGTAAAGAAACAGTCTCTGGCTGTGAAAGGGCTCTTTTTCACCTTGTTTCCTAACTCCATTTCTACAATAGCAAAGGAATGAGAGACTTAGTGGTGTATTTGTCCTTATGAAACATTCTCATATATATATATATATATATACACATACACACACATAAATGATCCTCCTGCAAAGCAAAATATATGTATATATGTATACACATAATATAGATAAAGATGTATAGATATAAAATCCATCTGAAAAGCAAAGTGTAGAGAAAAAAGAACACAAAATCCTGCTAGGATGTGGTGCCAATTGAATAGGAGACATTTCTTCATGTGGATTTAGAGTTGAGCAGAGTAGCCCAAGCTTTAGAAGTTTGTTTGAGATGGATCTGTGCTAGCAAGGAATGTCACATCAAGTGACACCTCTACAAATGGATCTTTCTAATACTTGTGGGCCTTCTTCACAAATTAAGGGTCAGCATGGTGTGTTGCCAACTTCACAAATTATTCAGAAGATTTGAGTTTCAGCTGTAGGATGAAATGAGTTCAGGGGCTGGATGCAGGTGGTGGTTGAACAACAATGTGAATATATTTAATGCCACTGAACTGTACACTTAAAATGGTTAAAATGGTAGATTTTATGGGATATATATTTTACCACAATAAAAACTATTTTAAAAGGCATCCTATGAGTTAAATAGTCAATGGGCTATATTAGTAGTGCATGAGCTACACAGCCTTGTGTTACTTTTTTTCTCTCTGATTTTAATTGGGTCTGATTATTGGTAATATTGGTAATATTTGGTAATATTTGAGCAACTTGCTTCTAACTGTAGGGTTTTGAAAAAAACCATTTTTTGTGGATTCTTAAATATTGTAGTAAATGGAAACGCCCTTTTTATGGGAGCCTGTGCTGGGGCTTCACAGTCACACAGAGTTGCCTTTGAGAACAAGAATCAGTTATAAACTATGTAAAGTTGGGTAATCTAACTTCTCAAAGTTCTAACTTTCTCATTTGTAAAATTTTAATTGGGTCTGAGTTTTAATAATAAAACCTTTATTCTGAAGGTTTTATTATATTTTTCAGAATAATAAGACTCCTAAGGTTAATGTTTTTAGTCTGATGTTATTGATTCAGTCCCATTAGTGTGAGGGAGAAGCCTTCTGTGGTATGATGCCACTAGGAACACAGAGGTACCACCTGTCAAGAAGGATTTAAGCCATTGTTGCGGTGACTGAGTGAGATGCCAGTACTCTAAGTTCCATGGGCAAACACGTGACCTTGAGAAATAGCAGAAAAGATTTTAACACATATTTATGTTAGATTAAATGGGTAACTGCCTGGGAATTTTATAGAGTATCCAAAATAGCAACTGTGGGTGAGTGTTATCAAATGATTAAGCATGGAAGTGAAGTACAATAACCATACTCTTTAAGGAGAAGCCCTTCCAGCTCTCTTCCCCACTTTGTGCCCTAATCTGGTGACAACATCTTAGAAAGCACTTGTGATGATATGAATAATAATGGGGCTGATCCAGAATCTAACTGATTTATTCCACAGTAATGGTTCTGTTTTGTCAGGGATTCTGTCGTTTTGTCAAATTTAAAATCAATATAGCACTTCAGTATCATTTTGTTGTTGTAATAGTGAAAATCCTCAGTGATTTCTTTAAGCTGCTCTGTCTTTTAAGAGAACCTCTACCACAGCCCCAAAGGGGACCCTGTCAGTGAAAGTCTGGTTTACCAGCCAAATCCTCAGATATCTCTCTAGTTCCCCATTGGCTGTGAGTCATTTGACCTTCTGAAACAGCTGCCCTAGAATTGTACAGATATCTTAAAAGGTATTAACTTTCATTTTTAAATCAGTGACATTGACAAATCAGAGAAGTGTGCTGGTCTAAGCAGTTTTGTTTCAAGCAGTATCCTCTGTTTTACTTCTATCCCAGACACTGATGAGCAGGGGTGTTTTTCTACACTGAAACTTTGGCTATAGTGATAAATTATCTCAATAGGAAGTATAACCCTCTATATAATTAGTGAAAGTTTTACTTAAACAAAAGTGAATATTCTAGTTTCTGATGAACATTCACTAGATAATGGTTTTCTTGTTTAGAGAGTGTATCTTTGTATGCCTCTGTAGAAAATTCCTGTGAGCTGCTTTTTTTTCCTCTTTCATTGTGATCAATTTTTTTAACGGATTATTCTATTTTAGGTAATATTTGAGCAACTTTCTTTTAACTGTAGGCTTTTGAAAAATCAGTTTTTGTGGATTTTTAAATATTACAGTAAATGGAAATGCCCTTTTTATGGGAGCCTGTGCTGGGGCTTCACAGTCACGCAGAGTTGCCTTTGAGAACAAGAATCAGTTATAAACTATGTAAAGTTGGGTGATTTAACTTCTCAAAGTTCTAGCTTTCTCATTTATAAAATGAGCATAATTGTGTGAGGAAAAATAAGATTATCCACTTAATGAGCTTAACTCTGTGCTTGGCAGATAATAAGCTCCCATAAGACCTTTGTTGTTATATTTTTTCTTCTTATCTCTGTTGCAGCACTTTTCTATTATTTAAAACTTTTTCTATCAAGCAGTATGGTCTGTTATTCTTTCATATAGTTTTGTTCACTTATAGCATACTATGTCAATTTTCATAAACAAGACTGTATCTATATAGATACATGTAATAGAACATGAATATGTGTATCAAACACTGTAAAATTTAAATTTATACATATATAAGGATGCCTATAAAATGACTCATATTGACTATATTTCTTCAAATTGATGAGTTTCTAGAAGGCAAAATAAAAATAACTAGTAGGGAAAGCAAATAGAAAATTTTGTTTGACTCCGTCTTAGGAGTTCAAGGAGAGAGGCCTGACTAAAATTTCTATTCAGAGATACAAAAATGTTTTAATACTTATACGTCACAGTATATTATCAATGCAACACCTCATAATCTCTTTTCCTCTTTCCCTCTTAATGGTGCTATCATATTCTCAAATTCTATGTATGACTTTTTTTATAATTTGGTCTCAGAGAGGCTGAGTTTAGAGTTTCCTTTATTTTGTGGCAATAAAGATTTATTTATTCCTTCATTCCTGTAACCCTGAAAAAGAATTTTAGGCCCTTCTCACTAGGGTCTATCCTTATTTTCCTATGATACAAAGAGTATTTCAATTAGAGAAGAGACTAAACAAGAGGCATAAAAAATAGGAACCAAGTAAAAATTATTATTATTTGATCCTTGAAAACGCACATAAGAAAATCACCTAGGCCGGCGTGGTGCCTCATGCCTGTAATCCCAGCACTTTGGGAGGTTGATCACCTTGATGTCAGGAGTTCGAGACCAGCCTGGCCAACATGCTGAAACCCCATCTCTACTAAAAATACAAAAAAATTAGCCAGACGTGGTGGCGGGCGCCTGTAATCCCAGCTACTCGGAAGGCTGAGTCAGGAGAATCACTTGAACCCGGGAGGCAGAGGTTGTGGTGAGCCGAGATCATGCCACTGCTCTCTAGCCTGGGCAACAAGAGTGAAACTCTGTCTCAAAAAAAAAAAAAAAAAAAAAAAAAAGATTCAACGGCTCACAGTTTTTAATACTTTTTTTTGGAAATTAATTTAATAATCAGAAATACCTCCCTTTGTATAAGTTATCAGTTAAAATGAAAAGAAGCAAATACTGTTTATAATAGATTTAGAAGGCATAAAATACCACTGGCAGGCAGGAGAGGGGTAAGAAATGTACAAGCTACATGGGAAAAGAAAAGGTTAAAACATTACTATGAGGTATATAAAGAGATCTGCGTAAATTCTCATTTATGGATATGAAGACTCAGTAATGTAAAGATATTAATCCTCTCTAATTTAACCCATAATAAAATGATGTAATTCAAAATTTTACTTTGAAGAATGTTCATTCAAGAATAAACAAGGCAAGTGTACAGATGCCAGCAAGATGGTGAAATAGGACATTCGTCTGCAGAATCATCAATTTGAACCACTGTTGACATCTGAAAATACCACCAAAAGAGCTAAGTGAACTTAAAGAAAATAGAAAAATAATTCAAAATAGCCAAAGCAATCCAAAGCAAAAAGAACAAAGCCAGAGGTATCACATTACCCAACTTCAAACTAAAAGGTTACAGTAACCTCAACAGTCTGGTACTGGTATTAAAACAGGCACATAGAACAATGGAACAGAATAGAGAACCCAGAAATAAAGCTGCATACCTACAGCCATCTAATCTTTGACAAAGTCAACAAACATAAGCAATGGGGAAAGGACTATCTATTCAATAAATAGTGTTAAGATCACTGGTGAGCCATATGCAGAAGAATGAAGCTAGAACCCTACATTTTACCATATATGAAACTGAACTCAAGGTGGATCAAATATTTAAATGTAAGACCTCAAACTGTAAGAATCCTAGAAGAAAACCTATGGAACACCATTCTGGACATTGGCCTTGGGAAAGGATTTATAAGTCCTAAAAGCAATTGCAACAAAAACAAAAATTGACAAGTGGGATCCAGTTAGACTAAAGAGCTTCTGCACAGCAAAAGAAACTATCAACAAAGTAAACAGACAACGTACAGAAAGGGAGAAAATATTTGCAAACTATGCATCCAACAAAGGTTTAATATTCAAAATTTATGAGGAACTTAAGCAATTAGGCAAGCAAAAAGCAAACAACCCCACTTAAAAATGTACAAAATATATGAACAAACATTTCTCAAAAGAAGGCATAAACATGGCCAATAAACATATGAAAAAGTGTTCCACATCACTTATCATCAGAGAAATGCAAATTAAAACCACAGTAAGATACCATCTCATACCAGTCAGAATGGCTATTACTAAAAAGTCAAAAAACAACAAATGCTGGTGAGGCTGTGGAGAAAAGGGAACACTTACATACTGTTGGTGGGAATGTAAATTAGTTCAGCAACTGTGGAAAAAAATTTGGAGATTTCTCAAAGAACTTAAAAGAGAACTACCATTCAACCTAGCAATCCCATTACTGGGTAGATATCCAAAAGAAATCTAATCATTCTACCAAAAAGACACATGCACTTGTGTGTTCATCATGGCAGTATTCACAATAGCAAAGACATGGAATCAACCTTGGTGCTTATCAGTAGTGGATTGAATAAAGAAAATATGGTGTATATATATATATATATATATATATATATATATATATATACACATACATACACACCATGGAATACTATGCAGCCATAAAAAGTAATGAAATCATGTCCTTTGTAGCACCATGGACGCAGTTGGAGGCCATTATCCCAAGTGAATTAACACAGGAACAGAAAATCAAATACTGCATGTTTGCACTTGTACGTAGAAGCCAAACATTGATAACTCATGGATATAAGGATGGCAACAATAGACACTAGAGACTACTGGAGGGGAAAAGGAGGGAGTGGGACAGTGGTTGAAAAACTAACTGTTTAGTTAGTACCTGGGTGAAGGGATCATTCATACCCCAAACCTCAGCATTACACAATATACCTAGGTAACAAACCTGCGTATGTACCTCCTGAATCTAAAATAAATGTTGGAAAAAACTAGAGATCTGGAACTGGGACTGCTCTGGTTTGAATGTGTCCCTCAAAATTTATGTTATGAGGGAGTGGGTTTCTTATAAAAGGACCCTACTTTTGTCTCTCTCTCACCCATGTGATGCCTTCTGCCTTGTTATGATACAGCAAGAAGGCCTTCACAGATGCCACCACCTTGATCTTCAGCATCCCAGTCTCCAGAACTGTTACAAGTAAATTTCTGTTTATCTAAAAAAGGAAAAATAATTCAAAAATTAGTAAGTCATTAAATGAATAAAATGAGAAAATTAAAGATTGAAATTATACAAAAAAACTAACAAATTCTGGAGCTGAGAAATGCATGAATGAAATGAAAATTGCAATAGAGAATGTCAACAGCAGAATCAATGAAGCAGAAGAAAGGCTCTGAACTCAAAGACAGTTTAGTGAAATTATACAATTGGAGAAAAAAGAATATAAAGTAATGAAGAATGCTTATGGAACTTACAGGAAAGCATCAAAAGAACAAAACTTAAAAGTATGGACACTGAAAAAGGAGAATAGAGGGACAAAGTTCTAGAAAGTTTAGTTAAAGAAACAATAGGCTGGGTGTCGTGGCTCATACCTATAATGTCAGCGCTTTGGGAGGCCGAGGTGGGAGAGTCGCTTGAGCCCAGGAGTTTGAGGTTGCAGTGAGCTATGATCATGCTATTGCACTCCAGCCTGGCTAATAGAGCAAGTTTTTATTGTAAAGAAAGAGATAGAGGGATAGAGAGAGAGAGGAAACAGTAGCAGAAACAAGGAAGGAGGGAGGGAGCAAAGAAGAAAGTAAGACAGGAAGGAAAAAAAGGCAGTCAGGAAGGCAGGCAGAAAATGTTTTATCAATCTGGGGGAAAATTTACATTTTCATACACAGGAAGGTCAAAGGTGTCTAATCAGATTCAATCCAAGCAAGACTACACCAAGACATATTATTATCAAACTTTGAAAATTCAAGGACAAAAAGAGTATTCTGCAGCAAAAGAGCATCAAGACAAAAGAAGCATGTCACATATAAGGGAATTCCATTAATACTAGAAGCAGACATCACAGCAGAAACCTTACAGGCCAGGGGAGAGCGGGATGATGTATTCCAGTGCTGAAAGGAAAAAAACAAAACATAACAAAAACTGTCAACCAAGAATACACAGCAAAGCTCTTCTACAGAAGGAAAAGAGAAAAGGACTTTTGCAGAGACACACACACACAAAGTCAAGAGTTCATTACTCTCAGAAGTGTCTTACAAGAAATGCTAAAGGAAGTTCTTCAGGCTGAAAGAAAAGGATGTTAATTAGTAACACAAAAATATAAGAAAGTTTGAAACTCACTAGTAAAAGTAAGTACAAAAAGTTTAAGTCAAAAGTAAGTACAAAAGTAAGTCAAATTTTAAAACTGTGGTGGTAGTGTTTAAGTAACATTTATTACAGTGGTTAAAACAAACTATTAAAAATAGTTAAAGCTGCAATAATTCATTAAGGGTTACACAATATAAAAAGCATCAAAAACAAAGTGTGGGTGGGTAAAAATGTTGAATTTTTGTGTGTGATCATGGTTAAGTTGTATTCAAGTTAAAAAAACTTGCTGCAACCCTAAGATATTTTATGTCAGCCTCCTGGTAACCACAAAGCAAAAACCTGTACTAGATATACAGAAAATACAAAGTAAGGAATTAAAGCATGCCACTATAGAAAATTGCCTAATCACAAAGGAAGACGGAAAGAGAAGGAAGGAACAAAGGAAAACAAAGCTAGAAAGAATGAACTAAAGGGCTATAGTCAGGAAACAAAGCCAGAGAAGAATGAACTAAATGACTGTAGTCAATTTTTACCTGGCAACAATTACCTTAAATGTAAATAAATTAAACTATTCAATCAGAAGACATAGTGTGACTTAATGGATTATAAAAACCAGACCCAGCTCTGTGCTACACACAGGGAACTCACTTCACTTATAAGGACACACACAGACTGAAAGCAAAGGGATGGAAAAAAGATACTCCATGCAAAGGAAACCAATAAAGAGCAGAAGTAGCTGTACTTATACCAGATAAAATAGATTTTAAGTCCAAAACTGCCACAAGAGACAAAGTCAGTATGTAATGCTAAAGGGGGCTGGGCGCAGTGGCTCACACCTGTAATCCCAGCACTTTGAGAGGCCGAGGTGGGTGGATCATGAGGTCAGGAGTTCAAGACCAGCCTGACCAACGTGGTGAAACCCCATCTCTACTAAAAAAATACAAAACAATTAGTCGGGCATGGTGGCACACACCTGTAATCCCAGCTACTCAGGAGGCTGGGTCAAGAGAATCACTTGAACCCAGGAGGTGGAGGTTGCAGTGAGCTGAGATTGCACCACTGCACTCCAGCCTGGGCCACAGAGCAAGACTCCGTCTCAAAAAAAAAAAAAAAAAAAAAAAAAGAAGAAGGATAACGGGATAAGTTAACCCAGAGAATGTAACACTTGTAAATATGTGTGCACCAAATGATGGAATATCTGAATATATAAGGCAAATACTAACAGATCTGAAGGGAGGGGGACTTAATAGGAGGGAAATTCTATATCCTATTTTCAGCAATAGACAGCTCATCCAGACAGAAAATCAGTAAGGAAAAATTAGACTTAAACTATGTGTTAGACCAAATGGACCTACCAGACATAAACTGAACATTGCATCCAACAGCAGCAGAAGACACCTTTTTCAAAAGCACACAGAGAACATTCTCCAGGATAGATCATATGTTAGGCCACAAAACAAGTCTTAATAAATTTAAGGAGATTGAAATCGTATCAGTTATACTTTCTGACCACAATGGTATGATTCTAGAAATCAGTAACTGAAGGAATTTCGGAAAATTTGGCTGGGCGTGGTGGCTCACGCCTGTAATCCCAGCACTTTGGGAGGCCAAGGTGGGCAGATCACGAGATCAGGAGATCGAGACCATTCTGGACAACATGATGAAACCCCATCTCTTCTAAAATACAAAAATCAGCTGGGCGTGGTGCACGCCTGCAGTCCCAGCTACTTGGGAGGCTGAGGTAGGGGAATTGCTTGAGCCCAGGAGGTAGAGATTGCAGTGAGCCAAGCTCATGCCACTGCACTGCAGCCTGGTGACAGAGCGAGACTGTCTCAAAAAAAAAAAAAAAAAAGAAAAAAAATTCAGAAATACATGGAAATGAAACAACATGCTCCTGAACAACCAGTGGGTCAAAGAAGAAATTTAAAGGGAAATTTTAAAATGTCTTTAGACAAACAAAAATTGACCCATGCCATATCAAGACACATGGGATACAGCAAAAGCAATTCTAAGTTTATAGCAATAATGGCCTACATCAGCAAGGAAGAAAGATATCAAATAAACAACCAAACATTACACCCCAAGGAACTAGAATAACAAGAACAAACTAAGCTCAAAGTTAAAGAAGGAAAGAAATAATAAAGATCAGAGCAGAAACAAATAAAATACAGACTAGAAAAACAATTAAAAAATCCATAAAACTAAAAGTCAGGTTTTTAAAAATATATAAATATATATAAAAATATAACATATAAACAAAATAGACAAATCTTTAAGAAAAAAGAAGTCTCAAAATCAGAAATGAAAGAGGCAACATTACAACCAATATTACAGAAATACAAAGGATCTTAACAGACTACTATGAATAAGTATACATCAACAAATTGGACAACCTAGAAGTGGATAAATTTCTGGACATATACAACCTGCCAAAACTGAACCATAAAAAAAAGAAAATCTGAGCAAACCAATAATAAGCAATAAAATTGAATCAGTAGTAAAAAGCTCTAATTAAATAAAGACCTAGGCCCTGATGGCTTCACTGCTGAATTTTACGAGGCATTTAAAGAACTAATACTAATTATTCTCAAACACTTCCAAAAAATGGAAGAGAAGGGAATACTTTCAAACTCATTTTATAAAACCAGCATTATCCTGATACCAAACTCAGAAAGTACACTACAAAAAAAGACAATTATAGGGCAATATCCTCATGAGCATAAATGCAAAAACTCTATGAAATTTTAGCAAACCAAATTCAACAGCATATTAGAAAGATCATTCATGATAATCAAGTGAGATTTATCTGTGGGATGAATTGATGGTCCAATATAGGCAAATCTATAAATGTAACATATCATGTTAATAGAACAAAGGACAAAAAACATGTGATTATCTCAATGGACACAGCAGAAGCATTTGACAAAATCTCTAACAACCTTTTATTCTAAAATCTCTCAACATATTGGGTGTAAAGAGGACAATATAGCTCGACAAAATAAAGGTCACATATGACAAACCCTCAGCTAACATCTTATTCAGCGGTGAAAAGTTGAAAACTCTTCCTCTGAGATCCAAACAAGACAAGGATGCCCACTCTCACCACTTCTTTCAACACAGTACTGAAAGTTCTATCCAGAGCAATTAGACAAGAAAAAGAAGGAAAAAACATCCAAATTTGAAGAAAACAGAATTTAAATTGTCCCTCTTTGCAGATGACATGATCTTATATATAGAAAGCCCTAAAGACTTCAACAAAAAATTATTAGAACTAATGAATAAATTTCAGGCCAGGCATGATGGCTTATGCTTGTAATCTCAGCACTTTGGGAGGCCAAAGTAGGAAGATCACTTGACTCCAGTGGTTTGAGACCTGGACAACATGGCAAGACCCCCATTTCTACAAAAAAATAAACAACGAGCTGGGCATGGTGGCATGTGCCTGTGGTCCCAGATACTCAGGAGGCTGAGGTGGGAGGATCACTTGAGCCCAGGAGGTTCAGGCGGCAGTGAGCTGTGATAGTGCCACTGCACTCCAGCCTGGATGACAGAGCAAGACTCTCAAAAGAAAATAACCCCAAATAACTAATAAATAAATTCAATAAAGTTACAGTACAACATCAACAGAAAAATCAGTTATGTGGTCTATATACTAATAATGAAGTGTCTGAAATCAAGAAAATAATCCAATAAGATACTTATGAATAAATTTAACCAAGGTGGTGAAAGAGTTGTACACTGAGGTTTACAGAATTTTATAGTAGACTATAAAATATTGATGAAAGAACTTAAAGATGACAGGAATCGAAAGATATCCCCATGTTCATGGATTGGAAGAATTAATATTAAAATATTCATAATACCTAAGGTGATCTACAGATTCAGTGCATTACCTATGAAAATTCTAATGACATTTTCCACATAAATAGAGAAAATGATCCTAAAATTTGTGTGTAACCACAAAGGACCTCCAATAACCAAAGCAATCTTGAGCGTAAAGAACAAAGCTGGAGGTATCACACTATCTGACATCAAAATGTACTACAAAGCTGTAGCAATGAAAATAGCATGGTACTGACATAAAAACAGACACATACATAGACCAGTGGAACACAATAGAGAGCCCAGAACTAAATCCAGGCATTTATTGTCTGTTGATTTTTGACAGAGGTGCTAAGAATACACAATGAAGAAAGTTTAGTTTCTTCAGTAAATGGTATTGGGTAAATGGGATATACATGCTTAACAGAATGAAATTAGACCCTTATCTCACACTATATGCAAAAATCAACACAAAATGGGTTAAAGAGTTAAACTTATGACCCATAACTGTGAAACTACTAAGAGAAAATACAGGGGAAAAGCTCCATGATATTGGTCTAGGAAATCATTTTCTGGATACAACCCCAAAAGCATTGGCAATAAAAGCAAAATTAGACAGATTAGGTTATTTCAAACTAATTTTCTGCACCACATAGGAAACAATCAGCAGAGTAAAAAGACAACCTATGGGATCGGAGGAAATATTTTCAAACAATACATCTGATAAGGGGTTAATATTTAAAATACATAGGCAACTCAAACATCTCAATAGCAAGAAAACAAATAACTGTGCTTTTTAAAAATGGGCAAAAGACCTGAAAAGACATTTCTCAAGAAAGATATATGCGTGGCCAACAGGTATATGAAAAAATACTCAATATCACAAATCATCGGGGAAATGCAAGTTAGAACCACAATGAGATATCACCTCGTACTTGTTAGAATGGTTATTATCAAAAAGACAAAAGATAACAAGTGTCGATGAAGATGTGAAGAAAAGAGGATCCCTGTATACTGTTGGTGGCAATGTAAATTTGTATATCCATTATGGAAAGCAGTAGGGAGGTTCCTCAAAAAATCAAAAATAGAATTACCAAATGATTCAGCAATCCCACTATTGTGTATGTATCCAAAGGAAATTAAATCCGTATGTCTTTTAGATATCTGTACAACCATGTTCATTGCAGTATTATTCATAATAGCCAAGATTTGGAATCAACTGAAGTGTCCATCTGTGGATGAATGGATAAGGAAAATGTGGTGTACATACACAATGGAATGCTATTTGGCCATAAAATAAAAGAAATCCTATTTATTTGTGAGAACATAGATGAACCTGGAGGACATTATGTTCGGTGTAATAAGTCAGGCACAGAAAGACCAATACTACAGGATCCAGCTTATATGTGGAGTCTAAAAATGTTGAGCCCATAGAAGCAGAAGGTGGAATAGTTGTTACCAGGGACTAGCGAGTTTGGGAGTTGGGGAGATGTTGGTCAAAGGATACAAAATTTCAGTTATGTAGGAGGAATAAGTTCAAGATATCTATTGCACAAAATGGTGACTATAGTTAATAACAAAGTACTGTGTTCTTGAAAATTGCTGAGAATAGATTTTTAGTTTTCTCACCACAAAAATAAGTATGTGAGGTAATGCATATTTAATTAGCTTGATGTACTCATTCAATTATGTATGCATGTTTCAAAACATCAAGTTGTACATAATGCATACATATTTTATTCGTCACATTTAAAAAAATTAATTTTCATAAAAGGATAAGCAGTACAATTGGCAACAAGAAATTGAAAAAGGAGTTAGTCTTACCAATTAGAAAAATACCTAGAGGCTGGACGCGGTGGCTCACGCCTGTAATTCCAGCACTTTGAGAGGCTGAGTTGGGCAGATCACCTGAGGACAGGAGTTCGAGAGCAGCCTAGCTGACGTGGTGAAACCCTGTCTCTACTAAAAATACAGAAATTAGCTGGGTGTGGTGGCGTGCTCCTGTAATTCCAGCTACTTGGTATGCTGAGGCAGGAGAATCTCTTGAACCCTGGAGGTGGAGTTTGCAGTGAGACAAGATTGCGCCACTGCACTCTAGGCTGAGTGACAGAGTGAGTGAGACTCTGTCTCAAAAAAAAAAAAAAGTACATAATAAAGGTTGATTCTATATTTTAGTATGCTTGATATTAATAGCAGTGGAAAAAATAGTATTCACTAACAAATTCAAATATATATGCTGATAAAAGATGTGGCATTTTAAATTAGTAAGAAAAAAATTAATAAATGGTACTGGGGAAACTAGGTATCCCTCAGGAAAAAATTAATAAAACTGGACTATTACCCTATTCCTTGCATCAAAGTAGATTGTAGGTGAATTAAAGATTTTAAAGTAGCCACAGAAACAGTTCTAGAAGATTGTGGGAGAGGTTTGCATATATAATGTGGGAGCGGGCATGTATTTCTATGCAAGATGTAAAACCAAGACCACAGTAAAGGGACTAATAAATGAAATTATTTGAAACTTACCAGAAGATATCAATTTATGAATGGGAAATAATATTTTAATATACATGACAGTTTTTTTATAAAGTGCTCTTATACATCAATGGATAAAGATTAAAAAAAAGCAATGTAAAATTGAGAAGGATTGATAAGCATTCCACATGAAGAAAAAATAGTTTATAAATTTATGAGATAATGCTTGGCACGGTGGCTCACATCCGTAATTCCAGCACTTTGGAAGGCCGAGGTGGGCATATCACGAGGTTAGGAGATCGAGACCATCCTGGCTAACCCGGTGAAACCCCATCTCTACTAAAAATACAAAAAATTAGCCAGGTGTGGTGGCGGGCGCCTGTAGTCCCAGCTACTCAGGAGGCTGAGGCAGGAGAATGCTGTGAACCCGGGAGGTGGAGCTTGCAGTGAGCCGAGATTGCGTCACTGCACTCCAGCCTGGGTGACAGAGCAAGACTCCGTCTCAAATAATAATAATAATAATAATAATAATAATAATAATAATAATAATAGTAAATTCATGAGATAATATTCAACCTTGTTTATAAGTTAAAGAAATGCAAATTAAAACAGCAGTGAGGTACTACTCAATTGATTAGAACAACTAAAACATTTACTGAGGCTGTGTTGCTTAGGACATTACTTTCAACTGTACTTTCATAGTTAATGCATTAAATTTAAAGTCTCTTAAAATCTAAATAGTATGCAAACATGCAATATTATGGATATCATTGCTCAGCATAAGGCTCAGGTTAAAAATAATCAGTTTTAAGAACAAATTTAAGTATGAAGACGTTATGTATCTTGAGTGCTTACTGTGCACCAAACATGATTCTTTGTGCTTTGTACATATTAAAATCCTCGCAGAACTCTATGAGCTAGATACTAATATTCTTCCCAGATGAAAACAAGGAAAGCAAAAAGACAGGCTTTATTTATTTGCCCCAATTATAGAGCTAGTTAGTGGTAGCACAATAATTTGAACCCAAGTGGCCTGGCTGCAGAATCTTTACTCACAACCCCTCACCACATCTGGGAATGTTTTAGGTCTGTTTCAAGTGTGCACATGAAAAGGTAAAACTCAGATGATTCAATTTCAGGAACTGGTGCCTTTTTATGAATATGATTTCTTGAAGAACCATTTGGCACTATCTATAAAATTAAAGTTCCAAAAAATGATCAACTTGCAGTGTAGTGAAAGGAGGTAATGCAAAAAGAGTGATGCTTTCAGTTTCTCTCAATGTATAGTTTACGTTAAGCAGCAATGCTACTTCTAGGAATTTATCCCACAGTCATAGTGTAATATATGCATATGTGCATGAAGAGATTAACATTTTATGAATATAATGGTAAATATGTTAGTACAGTTCTCTTTCAGTGGTCATGGTACATTTATACTCTGGAATAGCATGCAGCCTTGAGAAATAATGAGGTAAACATACTTACTGTGAATGAACTTCCAAGATATTTTTCTAAAATCAAAGAATAAGGTAAGATATTCTCCCATTTGAAATTCCCACAATGAATATATATATATATATATACTCATGTAAATATGAAATATTTCTAGAAGGACACATAAGAAAAATAAGAAAAATCATAGCATTTTTCCCCTCTGGGTAATGGGAATGGGATAAAAATATAAAATGGATGCAGATGTGGTTTGAACTATGTGAATCGTATGGCTTTTCAATTAAAAACAAATTGAAATAAACGTAAAAAATAATAATAAGTAGTGATTTTAATGCAATTCTTTTTCCCATTGAAATTTCTCCAGGATGAAAGCCAATCGCTAATGCTCAGTATACTGATATAAAACCTGAAAGTGAACATCAAGACCTTATCTTGATGTGAGAGTGAAGGGCAGTGGCTGGGATGTGTGGGTATCAGTGTACTGGTAAGAAGAAAGACTTTCGTGGGCTTTCAAATGCGAAGGAACAGCCTGGATGTCAGGAGGAGTCCCAGCTAGGGAGGTCATTTGGTATAGCACAGAAGGAGCTTATTAGATTAAAAAAAAACAACGGCTACAAAACTGTATCTCAAGTTAAGTGTCATCCTAACTTTGTAACATTTATTAGTGGATATAACCCAATGGAAAGAAATAGGAGCCTTCAAATTCTAATTGTAATATTTATTTTAGTGGTGTTTTTTAAATTAATGAATCTTTTTTTCTCGTGTTTAATGTTGAATGAATGATACTTATTCATGGCCTGGGTCATCAGTCCTTGACCATCACGTGATGTGGTGCAGACAGCACCTGGCTAAGAGTAACTAACTGAGTGCTGTTTCTAAAATAGCCCCTAACAAACACCTGGCCAAGTACAAGGTGCTCAACACCTGTGAGCTTCCTCCCCTTCGATTACAAAATGCAGGGTGGATGTGGAATCCAGTCACGCACTATAAGGCTGAACCTTGTGAATGTGCTGATATCTAAGTATCTTGACCTACAAAAACAGCAATTTCATATGATCAAGCTAATAAATATACTTTGACTTTCAGGTTTAAAATCACCCATTTCTGCAGCAAAACTGTAAAGGGAGGGCAACACCAGTTTTCCACAGGGGCAGCTGCAGTTGAGACTAACAAGTTCCTATCTAAGTTCTCCTCATTTTTAAATTCACATGGTGTAACTATTTCTCATGCAAACACACACACACACACACACGCACAGAAGTGCTGCAACAAGCTACAATGAAGAAATCCCAAAGTAGACTGAACAATGGGTAATCTACAATAAGGAAGCAGGATGATGTAAATCTTAATATTTTATTGTGCTCTAAAGTAGTATTGAAGTTCAAAGTAAGTTGGCTTTGCTCAGTCCTCTACTTTCTCATCAACCTTTGTGTTGATAGACTCCCAGAGTTCTCACAGGGGATCCATTTGGAAGGGGAAAATGCATCAATACAAGTCTGCCATGGTTTGGGTGGGTGTGCTGGGTAAACCTTGTGAAGAAAGGCAGCGCATCGCTGTCTCAAAATGTATGGCTTTGCTGTTGGAGCAGCCCACTCTGTCTGCGACTTTAACCCGGCTTTCTTCTAGGATGGCTTCCTTTTGCATTTCAGCTGCTGACTCGGTTTCTAAGTTGCTGCTACTAGTCAGTCACTAGAGTTTTGCATCTTTACTCTCATGACCATTTCTCCAGTTCTTGCTTTCCTTTGGTGTCAGGTATCACCCCCAAACGTTTGTCATCTCATCACCTCTGAATTAGGTCCTTTGACCAAGAGTAAAGCCATGTGTTTGCCGACTGGTCTCCACCTCAGAAATATTTACTAATTTCTCTTCTGTCATGTAAACGACTTCTGAGATGGCTCCATTTCCAGATGCCTTTCTGAATTACCATGAGCTACAATGGCTTGCCTACTCTTTGCCTGCCAGTATTTGAAACTCAGTTATTTTCCATTCTATCTTACAATTATTCTATGCTGGCCTTTCCCCCAAATTATACGTATGACATCAATTCATGACAAATCTAATTTTATATGCCACTGGCTAAAACATGTCATTTAGGCTATCTTTACATTCAGAATATTATTGCTCATTTCAGATTGTGAATTCCTAATATATGAGTCCCTTTATCAGAAGCATTTGAACCATCTTGCATAGGGGCTGGGAATACTGAGGCTGAGACCTGTTGGGCTCCATTCCTAGGAGGTTAAGGTATTCTTAGTCACAGGATGAGACAGGAGGTCGGCGTAAGATACAGGTCACAAATACCTTGCTGATAAAACAGGATACGGTAAAGAAGCTGGCCAAATCCCACCAAAACCAAGAAGGCTATGAGAGTGACCTCTGGTCATCCTTATTGCTCAGTATAAGTTAATTATAATTCATTAGCATGCTAAAAGACACTTCCACCAGCGCCATGACAGTTTACAAGCGCCATGACAGTTTACAAATGCCATGGCAACGTCCAGAAGTTATGCTATGTGGTCTAAAGTGGGGAGGAACCCTCAGTTCTGGGAATTGCCTGCCCCTTTCTTGGAACACTCATGAATAATCCACCCCTTGTTTGGCATATAATAAAGAAATAACTATATTTATTTGAGCAGCCCATGCTGCTGCTCTGCCTCTGGAGTAGCCATTCTTTCATTCCTTTACTTTCTTAATAAACTTGCTTTCACTTTCTGGACTTGTCCCAATTTGTTTCTTGCACAAGGTCCAAGAACCCTTTTTTGGGATCTGGATCGGGACCCCTTTCAGGTAATACTTTATTTCCTCATATGGATAGATTCTTAAATCATCTCCACAATGAATATTTTCCTAATACTTTAAAAAATAATATGGATAAGAATAAATATAAATAATAATGCCATATTCTTAATGACTCTCTTTTTGATTAAAACGTAATATTATATCTCATTCCGTCACTGCTGGATTACCTTACAGAGGTTTCTGCTTATAAAGAGACATGCGTTTCTCAAGGAAAACTCACCCTCATAAATAGCAGGACCTGAACAACATGGCTTCTCTGCCATCCGGGTTTCCATTTCCTGTCTAAATAGGCTTTGCATAAAATCCTTTGTTTATTGCGTTAGAAATATATTCTTCCTTTCGCAGATGTCCTTGTGGAATAACCTTTGGTGCTGTGGAAAAGATTCAAGTGTCAAGACACTAGTTCTGAAGTAGCCGATTGGTGTCAAGCATGAGAATAAAAGATGGGCATTAAAAACATTAGCACTTAACCTCAGTCAGGATTTTGTCTGTGAAACAGAAAAAATAGAAGAGAAGTCAGATTTGATCTGCATTCTGAAAATGAGAATTTTTTTTATATTTAAACTCCTCTTTTGTATTCCTTAATGTCCTTATTAATCATTCATATCAAATGGCTTGTCTTTCTTTCAGAGCCTTGAACATTTTAAAGACACCATGTCATTCTTTTTACAAGAGAGAGAAAAAATTACGCAGTTGAAAGAGTTCCCAGGGGAGCTATTGGGCTACACTCTGGCAAAAGTTTTATTAGCTAAACTTCTGACTGAAAGGAAAAATAAATTCAGGTTTAGGAATGGCTTCTATTTATTGTAAGGAAGTTTGCAAAAATTACTGAAAAATATCCCAAGAACACAATGTAAATTTACTCTGGTGGTATTTTTTCCACCCTTGCTTCTCCAAAATAATAAAAAAAGTTAAACGGCCAATAAATTTACATTAACAATCAGTTGTCTACCCTTGAATCAGAATAAATTCATTACTTCGGTAATTAATTAAGCAAGCTCAAATGAAAACTAGGTTCTCCTGAAGAGCTTGCATGTCAGTATTGTCAAGTCACAGTTAAAACATCTCTAAACAGAGAAATTAGCCCTATCACATCTCATTAATTTGTACTATGGGTTTCTTTTATTGTTCTATTTAGAATCTTAATACTAAGATTTTTTTTCTTCATCTGAGCTAAATTCCTTAAGCTATGACACAAAATCTTTTGCGAAAATTATTTCTGAAAGGAAACTGCATTTGTGTGCTGTGACCGGGCAGAGTAAGCTGTAGCTACCTCTGAGTTCAGGTTCAGGAATATGCATTTCTTATCCTTCCCAAATCTTTTTTCATGTTACCTGCTTTGGGCATTGTTTGGAGCTTCTGGTTGCCAGAGGTCCTGTAGGATCACATCTTAGGTCAAGGCAGGCCTACCTTCCAGAGCTGCAGAACACTGGGTACTGAGCTGGTCATCCTCACCCTTTCTCTCTTCTCTTCTCTTCTCTTCTCTCCTCTCCTTTCCTCTCCTTCCTCTCATCTCCTCTATCCCTTCCCCTCTGTGGATCCTTACCCTCCAGCTCCTTGGGTTGTGGCACCAAAAACGTGGCTGGATCTGGTACCCAAGCTAATGTGGTAGAGGAAAATAATTAGTGAAAACCATCAGCACACTCCCTCTGTTCTGGCTTCTTTGTGCATTTTAACAGTGGAGTCTGGAAATAATAGTCCCACTTCAGCTATTTAACCCAAGACTGACTTGAATGCTAGGAATGTCAAATCAGGTAGGGCAGAGTTTCGTCATCAGAGCAAGCAAATGTCAGGTGAACTGGAAGACAAAGCAGGACGTAGGTAAGAATGCAGAGTTTGAGTCAAATCAGTTGGGTTCAAATACTGGGTTCACTGTTTGCTAGCTGTATGAACTTGGATTAGCTGATTAACCACTTTGTACCTTGTTTCTTCATCTATATAATAGGTGTTATTATAGAACATACGTTATAGGATTATTGTGAAAATGAAAACAAAATAATCTGTATAAATTAGTGATAGATCTGAGTTCATCAGTAAATTGATGAATGGATAAGAGTAGATGCCTGATTGCAGAAGACTGAGGAGAGGAAATGAGTTAATGAAAAGGAGAGAGCAAATGATGAATACTTTCTGTAGAAGTCGGGATGCTTAGAAAAAGAGAGTGGGACAGCAGTAGCAAGAGGGACATACACGGGCAGGGGACAGTGTGAAGTGGAAGCTAGAGTGACTAGAGCCTGGTCACTGCCAGGGATGCTGGTGGAACTCCCATGCCCATCAACAGCTTGGAGACAGAAGAAACTCACAGAGTAGCTGAGGGGCAACGTCCCAGAGGGATGGCAGGGAAAAGGATCCAGAACACAGAAGACACTGAAAAACAATGATGTTTTCTGAAACAGGAGGAAAATAGCTAATTATATATGCTTTATTTTAAATTTCTGAAAGGGAGTTTATGGCTGTTCTTATCTACTTGATGTTCAGAAGATTCAAGCTCTGTGATATGAGTGATGAAGGAGCCGGTGCTGTGGCTCATACCTGTAATCCCAACACTTTGGTAGGCTGAGGCAGGCAGATCCCTTGAGTGCAGGAGTCTGAGACCAGCCTGGGCAACACAGTGAGACCCCTGTCTCTACAAAAAAATACAAAAATTACCTAGTTGTGGTGTGTGCCTGTAGTCCCAACTACTCGGAAAACTAAGGAAGATTGCTTGAGTCTGGAAGATCGAGGCTGCAATGAGCTGTGATCGAGCCAGTGCACTCCAGCCTGGGTGACAAAGCAAGAGCCTGTCTCAAAAACAAACAAACAAACAAAAAAGTGATAAGGGAAAAGTGGAATTAAGGTAGGAAATGTTTATGTGTGTGTAGTAGAGGATGTGGAATGGAAAAAGATTTTGACAGGGAACAACAAGAGTCCCTAGTAATAGTACATTTCTACACTGGAAACACCTGCCCAGACCACTGCCCAGACCACTTAAATCCAAACCTCAAGAGAGTAGGAACTAAGCAGTATGTTAAAGAATCCACCTGATGATTCCCATATTCATTCAAGGCTAAGGACCATTGTCCTCGTAGCATACAGACCCCAGGATGGAGACCATGAATAGGGACCCCACCCGCACAGCTGGGGGGTTTTCCCCAGCAATAGTCAGCTGTTTGCAGAACCTGAGAAGGCAACTGAGAAGACTGACCTAGAATTAGCATCTGCAGGTATGCTGACATGCTGACATTGAGGATTTGGCTACATAAATGCTAACAAATTGGCAAAAGAGTCTGGAAAAAATGGTACCATGCTGTTTGGGCAATGTGGAGAGGACAGTTAGATCAAGAGAGGCTGATAACGAAAATCAGAAAGAGTCAGCATGTCAAAGAAGCTATAGTGTGGGAGTGAGAGATCTGGGACTATCTAGAGGTGTACAGTCAACACAGAGTTTAAATAAGATTTCAAAGATGGTGCCCCCATCCCAGGTGGTGATGAGGTTGGCCGTGGGAATGAGGCTGAAGTGAAGCAGCTGGAGCTCATTTGCATCAGGGAACTTGAAGTCAAAGGATCTTATTGGTATTCCTCAAGGATGTTCATATTGTGGCTTTGGGATAGAGGAGATGGTGATAAGTGTAAGGGAATGACTCAGAGTTTAGAAAATGAATTACAATGGCCAGGAAGGGTAGAGGGAGCTATAGTCAAATGGCATTTAAGAGAAGAGATAACTTTCTCGTTGTGTGTGTTCAGTTACTTTTGTGAGGAAGTGCAATGTTATGAAATCAAAGGAGATCGGTGAAAATGTGTCCAGACCCCACCACAAATAAGATGAGGGGAAATGAGGAAACTGCATTCCTGAGTGTTACAAGGGCAGGGGTGTCCAAAAGAAAGACCTGAGTTTTAATCAAGGTGTAGATCAGTGTCTGACACCCAATATAACTGAGTATTTATTGTGTACCAGGTGAGATTTTTAGAATTTTAGCTGCATTCTATTATTTACTTTTTCATCATTAACTTGGGATGAAGAAATACAACTTTAGAGAGGCTCAGTAATGAGCTCATGTCACACAAGCAGAGCCTGTACCAGAAACCTTGGGCTGCCCACCTGGGGAGCCAGTCTCAGTTTCTAGGCTACACCAGAATATTCTCAGATAAGATTAAAGTAGTCTTTTTTCTTCCTTCTTTCCTCCCCTCAACCTCATCCCCCTTCCCTCTCTTCTTTCTTTTTCCCTTCCCTCCCTTCCCTTCCCCTCCCCTCCTTTTCCCTTCCCTTCTTTATGAGGGTCAAAGAGTGCACAGAAAAAAAACTGTGGGGAAGGAAGAAGAGTAGTGGGGAGTGCATGGGTGGATGGGAGTGTAGAGAGCCCGGAAAAGGACAGATTGACCTGAGGATCAACGGCATACGATTTGAGGACATGTCCGGGGATGACAGGGATGAGAGGCCTGGGGGAATGGCTGCTCTCGGGTCTCTGATTGGAATTCTGGAGTGATGTGGTTTTGCTGCCATCCCAGCCCAGAACGTGTCTCTCTTCAGGGTTCCACACAGAAACATTAATCCCAAACTGTTTGGCACGCTGTGGATTCTATGGATTCTGTCTCCCTGGTGGGAGTGAGGGCGATGATCAGGCACAGCTGTTCCCCCTCAGGTTTGGAATTTATCAGTGAGGACGAGTTTAGTGCTGGGCAAAATGCATTTCCTGCCTTTTAAAGGAATATGGATTTGCTCAGCTGAGGACTCCAGGGCACTTTCATGCAGAAGGGGCAGGAGACTTAGTTCCAGGCCCAAGTTCTTTTCCCTCTGAGTCATAGGAACCCCCTCCTCCTTTCTAGTCCCTCTGGCATTTTGTCCTCTGAAGAAATCTGAACCCAAGTGGTTGGTCCTAAAACACTATCACAAACAGAGAACCAACTGAGAGAGGGAGAAAGGATGAAAAGGAGATGCAGGTGAGAGGGGTGAGGGGCAGGGTGCTGGTGCAGTTCACACCAGAAGGAAGGAAGGGAGGGAGGGAGGGAGGGAGGGAAGGAAGGGAAGGAAGGAAGTCTGAATGTTTTCATCTCACCCCACCCTTCTCCAGGCTGGAGGCTGCAGAACTCGACTAGACTCATTTCTTTCTATTTATAATTTGCTATGTCATTTTAAAATTTAATTTTTAATTTATTTTCCCATTTAAACTTGCTTTGGGATTGAATTTGCTTTGGTTTTGCTTTCTGCTTTTTTCCTCCTGATTTTAGCTTTAGTGACCACTTACTTCTTATTATTGACACTTTACTTTGTATGCTGAAGGCTAATTTTCTGCCTTCATTCAAAGTCTGAACCCTGCAGCGATGCCAAATAATACAGAGAAGTCTGATTGTCCTTTATAAAAACAGCAAAATTTTTTAAGTTAAATCACATTCACCTTGAAAGAAATCATGTGCTCGATAAACCCTGAGAACTGCGGCCCCAGGGACTCACCGTGCCCACATTTTAGTTGTACTTTCACATGCAGATTAATGAATGTGACTAACATCTCATAACTCGTATTTTAAAATGTAATACAGTATTTAATATACATTGCACAATAAAATATCAGGAAGACTGAACCGTGGCTTACGTTGATGAGTACTGTGAGAAACAAATTCTACATTGGGGTGAAAATGAATAAAATTAGAAGTTGGGACTGAGAAGGACTGCAAGCTGCTGTGAGCAAGTGAACAGGAAACTGACCCTCTGCAGACTTGAGTAGGACCAGACGCAACTCTTCGAGAAAGACAGAGTAGGAAAACATCTTCCTTTTCCAAAGTGTATGTAGTTAGAGGCCCCCACCCAATGCATTTTCTTCCATTATTACCTATTTTTTAATATTCTATTTTTCAATCTAATTTCCCTTTTCCAGGGTGGAAAAACAACATTTAACTCTGGGAGAGTTTTAGTGTAATTTTGAAATCTGTTAAGCTTGCTGAAAGTTAAAAAGAAGGGAACATATTTTAAAATTTACATTTTGCTGTGTGGTTTCTGTGGTATGTGTAGGCCTGTTGGCTATGAAACACCCAGCCGCTATCACCTTTCAAACTCCTTTGTGAATTTATTAGAGCAAGACCCAAGAAACAAAAACAAAACCTTGTCTTCCTTATTTTCTTTCAACCTTGCTTCATCCCAAAGTGTACTTGAAGTGGAAATCATTTGAATTTTCCACAGTGCATTATGTTTACTGATATCTATACATCTTCCCTCAGATAAGATCCTAGGAGTAATCACCATTACCTCTATTTTGCAAAAGGAAGATGGGAAATTCAAGGGGGATGAGTGATTTACATCATACTTGGAATTGTGACAGGTCTTGAACTCTGGTTTATTTAGATCTTCCAAGTTAAAAACCCTTCCCCCCAACCCTGCCTCACCACAGAATCCAGCACTGCCTCCCTCAGTTTATAAGTAGGTGACATGTGGACAGAAAGATTCTGGAAAGTCCTGGTTTCTCAGGGTGGCAGCATTTTCTACTGGAAGTTTCTCACAGGCCGGTCCTTGTGTGGTTTGCAAAGTGAGCCCACAGCACTGACTGTGGGGAGGAAGACGGGGACAACAGCTCTGTGGGAAATGAAAGCAGCAGAGAATTCTGACTGTCCTCCATCTACCCCATGGCTGTCCTGCAGCTGCAGGACTCTGTTGGACAGTTCCAGTGGCCCCTGTTGTTCTCCCAGTTGCTCCAACTTGGAAGACGGAATCCCAGAGGACAGGTTGCTATTGGGCCTCTAAGCTCCTCACAGCACTGAGGACCTACAGAAAGTTCAGTGACAGGAAAGTCTGAGCCCCACCGAGATGATATTAAAGATGCAGATTGCTATTCTGTGTTTAACTGAATCTTCAAGGTGTGAATGTCAAGCTGAAAATGACATGCCAATTTAAGACATTAGACCAACTCAGTTTGTGATTTTAAAAATTATACCATATTTTGTTTATCCATTCCACTCATCAGTGGACATTTGGGTTATTTCCACATCTTGGCTGTTGTGGATAATGCTGCAGTGAACATAGGAGAGCCAAAATTTCTTTAACATCTTCATTTTATATTGGGGGGGTGTATATACCCGAAAGTAAGATTGCTGGATCATATGATAGTTCTATTTTTAATCTTTTGAGGATTTGCCATAATGTTTTCCATTGCAGCTGCACCATTTACATTCCCACCAATGGTGCAAAAGGGGTTCCTTTTTTTCACATCCTTGCCAACACTTGCTATCTCTTTCGGCATAAATTTCAGTTAAACAAGTTCTAGCGATCTGCTGTACAAAACTGTGCCTATAGTTAATGGTACTGTATTGTTTAAGATGATAGATTTCATGTTAAGTTTCTTACCACAATAAAAATAATTATGCCATAAAATATGCATAAGACTTTTTCAATGAATGTAATACTCAAAATCTGCAACGGAAATGCTTCTTAGCAACAAGGGACCAATAGGAGGATTATATCCTTTCATTCTTCAGCTATACTTAAAATGGGTATTTAGAGTTGAAAAATAATCAGTGTATTTTCACTGTTTTTATTTGGAGTCACTACACAAACAGCTATAAAATTTTGAAGAAAAATAGGCTTATGCAGAAGTATAGAGAGGAAAGATTACATACACCCACAGACCTGACTCCTAGCAAGCGCAACTTGTAAAGTATGAAACAGCTTATATGTTACGAGTGTAATTATAAATTGGCAAAATGTCCTTTTTATCACACTCCAGTACATTTTTATTGCTTTCAGCTTGCTCAAGGTTTTTTATTGCTCAGGATTTGTCTCTGAAATGTACTTGGAGGAGGGAGCTATACATTGTAAAGCCATACACAATCTTAGAAACCCTTACCTCCTGAACCACTTCTTCTGGCACAGGCTTTATCCTTTTCCTTTTCTTGTTAAGTCCACAGAACCATCTCAGGGCAAAATGGTGAAGTGGGCCGACGTAGCCTTTTCTAGTTCTCTGTGTGGTTCACCCGTTCACCGATCTGAATTTCTTCGGACCCCGTCTGAGTCGGTTGTCCTCAGGAGTCGTGTAAAGTCTGGGCCCCAGCCTGCGCGCTCCTTGTTTCCTAGTCCAGGGAGTGCTGGTGTTCTGGTTTAATAAACATCCTGGACAAATGAATGAAAAAGGCACTAACTGATAAGAATCCCCATAAAAGGCTATTTAAACTTTAATAATGAACTTTAAAAGGCTTGTAGGCCCAAAACAATGAGTATTTTGATGGTGACAACTCAGATGTGAGAAATGGAGGTGATACTTTGGGAGAAAGTGACTGCAGTAGTCCCCAAATCCCTGGTGGATGCCAGAAACTGCAAACAGTGCTGAACCCTATATGTACTATGTTTTTTTCTTATACATACACACCTGTGATGAAGTTGCTTTTATAAATGAGGCACAGAGATTAACAACAAGAACCACTAATAAAATAGAAAATTGTAGCAATATGCCAGCATCACTACTTGTGCACTTTGGAGCCGTTGTTGATTGAAATAAGAGTGATTTGAACACAAGCACTGTGATACCATGACAACCCACCTGATAACCCAGAGGGCTACTTAAGTGACTAATAGGTGGGTAGCTTATAGGGCATGGATATGCTGGACAAAGGGATGATTCACGTCCCATGCAGGACAGAGCAGGGTGACATGCGTTTTCATCACATTACTCAGGATAGTGAGCAATTTAAAACTTATGAACTGCTTATTTCTGAAATTTTCTATTTAATATTTTCAGGCTGTGATTAACCACGGGTAATTGAAACTATGGAAAGCGAGCAAAACTGCAGATAAGGGGAGACGACTGTATTTCTGATGTACTTCAAATTATACTTTAAAATTTGTCTATAGAAAATTGTTTGTGTTTATTCTTACAGATCTGTGGAACCAATTTTTAAATCTCCTAGGCAGGCTAAAATAATTGCTTTTGCTATCTCATTTTTTATAAACATTTATTTGTGAGATAAATCTTTACTTTTATCTTACAAATAAAAAAGATAAAGAGATAAAGAATATAATAAAATATATTTGCACTTCTAAAATTTGTATTATTAAGCTTTAAATAAAATACAGGAAAATAGTTCTACTATACTAAACTAAGGAATTTTCTTCTAAGCCTCAAATCTAAAAATCTATAAACTAATCTGAAAGAAAAGTAATGAAAATCAGGGCCAGGTGCAGTGGCTCATGCCTGTAATCGCAGCACTTTGGGAGGCCAAGGCAGGTGGATCATCTGAACTTAGTAGTTCCAGACCAGCCTGGCCAACATGGTGAAACCCAGTCTCTACTAAAAATACAAAAATTAGCTGGGCGTGGTGGCAGGCATCTATAATCCCAGCTACTCGAGAGGCTAAGGCAGGAGAATCTCTTGAACCCAGGAGGCGGAGGTTGCAGTGAGCTGAGATCCCACCACTGCACTCCAACCTGGGCAAAGAGCGAGACTGTCTCAAAAAAAAAAAAAAAGAAAAAAAGAAAATATCAATATTTCTATATAAACTTGGGAATCAGTTGTGCATTTCAGACAAATTTGGGTGAAGGTGATTATGGTTATTATGACAATGAAATACTGACCATCTCTGAGCAAAGGGCTTAAGGAAGTATGTGGGAAGTGCTCAAAAACATAAGCTATGATGATGATGATGATGATGATGATGATGATGATTTGAATTTGAGAATATAATCCCATTTTCTTTGGGCTATTCAAAAACTAGCAAAAAGTCAATTAGTTAAAAAAATTTCATTTCAGAAATTAGTTTCTGTGGCCTAGAGGAAAAATACACTGTGTATTCTCATCAATCACTGATTTGAATGGACACTTAAAATACACCTCCATGTGCAGGTAAAAAGAAGTTACTCAATGATGAGCAACCTTGTGGACTAGAAATACAGTCATCCCTGGATATCTGCGGGAGATTCATTCCAGGAGCCCCCCACCCCCAAAGATACCAACATTCATGGATGCCCAAGTCCCTTATATAAAATGGTGTAGTTTTGTATGTAACCTTTGTACAGCCTCCTGTATACTTAAATCATCTCCAGATTACTAATAATACGATGCAAATGCTGTAAAAATAGTCGTTATACTATATTGTTTAAAGAATAATGGCAAGAAAAAAATGGTTGTGCATGTTCAACAAAGTCACAGCCATCCATTTTTTCCCTACTATTCTTAATCACAGTTGGATTCATGAGTGCAGAACCCATGGATATGGAGGGCTGCTGAGTGTACTATATCCCTAGAAAGTTATTCTGAAATAGAGATAAGTAAGCGTAAATCTTACTCATATTTACAGGGTTGCAGCATTGTTTATAAGAGTGAAAATTGACAACTCTCTAATATCTAGAGGTTTATCTATCTAGAACAGGAAGATCATGTTAAATATATACCATCCAAAACTATGCAGATCTTTTTTTTTTATATACTTTAAGTTCTAGGGTACATGTGTACAACGTGCAGGTTTGTTACATATGTATACATGTGCCATGTTGGTGTGCTGCACCCATTAACTCCTCATTTACATCAGGTATATCTCCTAATCCTATCCCTCCTCCCACCACCCCACGACAGGCCCCAGTGTGTGATGTTCCCCATCCTGTGTCCAAGTGTTCTCATTGTTCAGTTCCCACCTATGAGTGAGAACATGTGGTGGTTGGTTTTCTGTCCTTGCGATAGTTTGCCCAGAATGATGGTTTCCAGCTTCATCCATGTCCCTACAAAGGACATGAACTCATCATTTTTTATGGCTGCATTGTATTCCATGGTGTATATGTGCCACATTTTCTTAATCCATTCTGTCATTGATGGACATTTGGGTTGGTTCCAAGTCTTTGCTATTGCGAATAGTGTCGCAATAAACACACGTGCATGTGTCTTTATAGAAGCATGATTTATAATCCTCTGGGTATATACCCAGTAATGGGATGACTGGGTCAAATGGTATTTCTGGTTCTAGATCCTTGAGGAATCGCCACACTGTCTTCCACAATGGTTGAACTAGTTTACAGTCCCACCAACAGTGTAAAAGTGGTCCTATTTCTCCACATCCTCTCCAGCACCTGTTGTTTCCTGACTTTTTAATGATCACCATTCTAACTGGCGTGAGATGTTATCTCATTGTGGTTTTGATTTGCATTTCTCTGATGGCCAGTGATGATGGGCATTTTTTCATGTGTCTGTTGGCTGCATAAATGTCTTCTTTTGAGAAGTGTCTGTTCATATCCTTTGCCCACTTTCTGATGGGGTTGTTTGATTCTTTCTTGTAAATTTGTTTAAATTCTTTGTAGATTCTGGATATTAGCCCTTTGTCAGATGGGTAGATTGCAAAAATTTTCTCCCATTCTGTAGGTTGCCTGTTCACTCTGATGGTAGTTTCTTTTACTATGCAGAAGCTCTTTAGTTTAATTAGATCCCATTTGTCAATTTTGGCTTTAGTTGCCATTGCTTTTGGTGTTTTAGACATGAAGTCCTTGCCCACGCCTATGTCCTGAGTGGTATTGCCTAGGTTTTCTTCTAAGGTTTTTATGGTTTTAGGTCTAACATTTAAGTCTTTAATCTATCTTGCATTAATTTTTATATAAGATGTAAGGAAGGGATCCAGTTTCAGCTTTCTACATATGGCTAGCCAGTTTTCCCAGCACCATTTATTAAATAGGGAATCCTTTCCCCATTTCTTGTTTTTGTCAGGTATGTCAAAGATCAGATGGTTGTAGATATGTGGCATTATTTCTGAGGGCTCTGTTCTGTTCCATTGGTCTATATCTCTGTTTTGGTACCAGTACCATGCTGTTTTGGTTACTGTAGCCTTGTAGTATAGTTTGAAGTCAGGTAGCGTGATGCCTCCAGCTTTGTTCTTTTGGCTTAGTATTGTCTTATCAATGAGGGCTCTTTTTTGGTTCCAGATGAACTTTAAAGTAGTTTTTTCCAATTCTGTGAAGAAAGTCATTGGTAGCTGGATGGGGATGCCATTGAATCTATAAATTACCTTGGGCAGTATGGCCATTTTCACGATATTGATTCTTCTTATCCATGAGCATGGAATGTTCTTCCATTTGTTTGTGTCCTCTTTTATTTGGTTGAGCAGTGGTTTGTAGTTCTCCTTGAAGAGGTCCTTCACATCCCTTGTAAGTTGGATTCCTAGGTATTTTATACTCTTTGAAGCAATTGTGAATGGGAGTTCACTCATGATTTGGCTCTCTGTTTGTCTGTTATTGGTGTATAAGAATGCTTGTGATTTTTGTACATTGATTTTGTATCCTGAGACTTTGCTGAAGTTGTTTATCAGCTTAAGGACATTTTGGGCTGAGACAATGGGGTTTTCTAATTATACAATCATGTCATCTGCAAACAAAACAAAACAAAAAACATGGTATTTGCTGTAAAGAGTTTAAATTAACTCAAGGTCGGCCACACCACATTAGAGATGAAGTTATTGTTCAAGTCAGTCTCATCGAAGGCTCATAGATTAGGGATTTTTCAAAGGTAGTTTAGGGGAAGGGCTGGGAGTGGCTAGGAAATGGGTGCTTGCCGCTGATTGGTTGGGGGTGTAATCATAGGGGTGTGGGAAATGATTCTTCTGCATGCTGAGTTACTTATGGGTGGAGCTACGGGAGCTGTTGGCAGGTCCAGTGGAGCCATGGGTAGTCAAACATGCAAAAAACCTGGATATCTCAAAAGGCTAATCTTAGATTCTACAATACTGATGTTATCTGCTGGAATTCATGAGGAAGTTGCATATCTCGTGACCTCTGAACAAATGGCTAGCAATCATTTATGTCTGTATCTTAGCAGAATTTAGGCTCCTCTATTCT
Source organism: Homo sapiens (assembly GCF_000001405.40). Classification (NCBI taxonomy): domain Eukaryota; kingdom Metazoa; phylum Chordata; class Mammalia; order Primates; family Hominidae; genus Homo; species Homo sapiens. The sequence goes on from NC_000009.12 coordinate 61,417,153, forward strand.
CCTAGCCTGGTGGTCTCTCATTAGCTTTAGTTTTGGGGAAGGGCTATTATCATTTAAACTATAAACTAGATGTCTCTCACGGTTGGCTTGCCCAAGCTCAGGAATGATTAAGGGCAACTTGAAGGTCAAGGGCAAGAATGGGGTTAACTAGATCAGGTCTCCCCATTGCCATAATTTTGTCACTGTTAGAATTTGTGCAAAGGCGGTTTCAATTTCACTGTTAGAATTTGTGCGAAGGCGGTTTCCAGAGCTCAGCTTTGACCATAGGACATTGAACTTCCATGTGCCTCATGTTGTTGCTGCTGTTTTACAAATTCATAGACAGAAAATTTCTAGCACACTGCCGGATAAGCTATGAGCAACTCTTATTATCTCATACTAATATTATTCTAGGCAGGTGGCACCTTTTGAGTCTAGTTACTCTGTAGATCCTAACCAAATAGGAGGATGTGACTGCCTCATAGTCACAGAAAATACTCAACCTAGGCCTGATTCATTCAGTATTCTTATTCCCAATGCTGGCAATATTGTTCATTGATGGATCTGTGTGAGAGACACACAGGAATATACAATTGCATCTTATGCAGTATTTTATAGGTAGAGATGGCTTTTTCTTAGAACGTATTATACATGATTACAAGTGTAAAAATATGGTGAAATAATTTTGTTTGCTTTTCAAATGATTTTTGTTGCTAAAAACTAAAATTAAAAATAGGGAACAAGTATCCTAAATGTTTTTGAAACTATTATCATAGCAATTCTCAGACTATCAAGACTATGAACTATTTTCCATGATAGCACACTAATCATAACAATCATAACCATTTGTATGTGCATATCCAATATCTAATATTCAGGGATAAGGTAATATGGATCACCCAGTTTAATGCTCACAGATTCTTATGTGAAAAAATATATATTTGGTCATAGTTAAAATGGACAAAATAAGTGAATCTGTCTGATGGTCAGATAGTAAATATGTCAAACAAACAAATGATTACAATTTTCAGTTAGAATAACAAAAGCACTTAGATCACTGATTTAATAATAGTGATTCCCTAGCTAATTTTTTCATCTGTGCAGGTTGATTATCAGGGATGAAAAAGTGTGAAAACATTCCAATTAAGTAAATTGCTCTGCAGTTGGTGGGAAGTACTAAGTAATTACTTGTGGTGAGTCCAGAGATGAAGATGGAGTGGGCATCTCTGAGTCACCCAGGCAAAGGAAGACAGGTGCTGCTCCTCACAGCAGAACAAGGAGCTGGGTTTAGAGAGACTGGATAGAATATAGCATTAGGAAGATTATTTCTAACAATCAAGTCAGTGCACCAGCATTTGCCTGGGACCAACTGTGTGTTAAACACTGGTAAATACTGGGAGGGTTAAAGGTGCAGATCTTGGGGAACCTAGCATAAAATTCAACACAGCAGACATTTATTCTCCTTGAAGAATTCCTGATTTTGCAGCAATGCCTATCATGTCCCAGAACGAGGCTGGTTGTTGAAAGTCTCTGAGAAACCAGAGATGGCACCAGCATAATACCCTGAACTTTTATAAGGCACAAAGATTTATAATTATAATAAGGAAATCTGAGAGCAAGAAGACATGCTGATCAATCTCACACAGGAAATTTGTCCCAGATCCAAGTCAAATGACAAGTTAGATGAATTGCCTGCTTTCTAAAAAGGTATTTTAACATTTAACTAACGTGATCATTTAAAGTCAATAGCAATATCTCAGAAAGAACGCCTGTTAAGTTGTGATATATTTAGTTATATGCACTATATACAGAGAGCTAAGTGGCTAGTTCTGCTCTCTTCATTATCTGAATTATTTTAAAAATTACATTTACGTTAATCTTGATTCGTATTTTGGATTGCTTTATGTTTCTGAATGATCATTTCCTCAAAGTTATCAGTAGTGAGCAAACACAAACATTTATTTGTCTTTTTTAAACATGCACTACACTTTGTTTTTCTCTTTTTGACTTATTCAAATATGGTAAATTAATTCATTTTTATTTAAAAAAATGATAGGATGCTCAAGTATCAAACATACAAATGTATTTGCAGTGTTTCATTTTTCAATGATTATGTATATTTAATTAATTAAAGATATGCATAAGTGCATATATACATACATTTTTTCCAATAAGGTACTCTTGCTGTCATTGATTATTCATTTATTTTCTAACATTTCTTTCTTTCTTGACCCGAATATAAACTAACTATTTCAGGCCATGCTCTTTTAGTGCTAGAGAAAACTTTAGATTCCATACTACTTTTTTTTTTTTTTTTGAGATAGAGTCTCACTCTGTCACCAAGGCTGGAGTGCAGTGGTGCAATCTCGGCTCACTGCAACCTCCACCTCCCAGGTTCAAGTGATTCTCCTGCCTCAGCCTCCTGAGTAGCCAGGACTACAGGGGCACACCACCATGCTAGGCTAATTTTTGGTTTTTTTTTTTTTTGAAATAGAGATGGGGTTTCACCATATTGGTCAGGCTGGTCTCAAATTCCTGACCTCAGGTGATCCACCTGCCTCAGCCTCCCAAAGTGCTGAGATTACAGGCATGAGCCACCGTGCCTGGCCCCATAGTACTTTGTAGCATGCTTTCCAGCTAAACTGAAGCCTCAGGTGACATACCATGGCTCTCACAGCTAATTAATGAAAAAGCTGGAACCATCACCCACATTTCTTAATTCCTACTTCAGTTCATTTAATAATGCTAGAATAAGGCAAAGTCACACTTTTCTCATTTTGTGTTGATAAACATTGTATTCTAATGGTTAGTAAAAAATAATGCATTCATGAGCACTTTAAAATAATTAAGTACAACTGTTCACATAGGCAGTTATCGATACTAATTTAAATAAGAAACAGTTTTGCATGTTACACCATTATCTGTAATCTTCTGAAAATAACAGGGACAAAAGCAGTATCATCCTTGCCTAATGTCATCTGCTAGTGAGGGGATGCAGACCTAAGTGATTAAGTTGATTCCGGCTGAGAATCAAAGGAAAAGGTCCATAGATTCATCCTTGCTTTCAAAGAGTAGCATTGTGAGAATGAGTAAGAGGAAATATCACTTAGTATTAACAGATAATAATAAGCAGTGTTTCCTACTAATTGATTATTTACCGTATGCTAGTCCTATGTTAAGAGCTTTAGAGATACGTGAGAGTCTTGTGAGTCCGGATCATCATTCTCCCCAGTGTTCAGAGGAGAAGGCTCTGCGTGGTTGAGTGTCTTGCCCACAGTCACAGAACCAGTATATGTTGGGACTTGGCCTCAGACCCAGGTCTCTCCAGCTTCGCAGCCTGTGTTCATCATATGATATATCACTTACAGGAAACTCCAAAACTGAGCTGAAGTCTTTGACAGTTGCAGGAGCCAGCATCCTGCTGGAGCCGTGGCCTCACAGTCCTGTCTATGTCCTTGGGAGGGCTCTGTGGCAGCCCCAGGTCCCACTTGCCAGGAGTCCCTTCTTCACCCATGAGCATCCTGAGAACAGAGGAGGTTGAGGGGGCAGCAGCAGAGGGTTAACAGCTCTTCAGCAGGCACTGGGTCCACATGCTGGAGCCCTTTTTTGTTTATTTACTATGTTTAGACATCAGATGCCAAGGTTTCCATGAGTCACCTTCCTTAGTGAGTAATCATGAAGGAATGATCGGTCTGGTCTGCATAAGACCCTACTCTTGCCTTGGTGTTCATTCATTCATTAATCATATTTTTTTGTACATGATTCATATTTCCCCAGTCCAATACATTTTATTTGTACATATTCTTTTAAAAATCATAATTCTTTTGTTCACACATATTTACACTTACATATAATATTGTTTTATATCTTTCATTTTGCTTTTTACTGATTAACTCTGCATAAATATAATTGTACTAGTCATACTAAGGTGATAAAGATAATATGCTAATTTTTAATAATCTATAGAAACATTTTAATTGCTTCATAAAATCATCAAGGTATATGTCATGGTAATTATATTATTAATGCTATATACTTAGAATTAATACAATTTCTTCATATAACACTTATAATTAACAAAGTGTCTTAATCAAATAATCTTGTTAACAGGCATTACAGGGAGCAGCTTAGCAATATCTTTCATTTGTATAGTTCCTTAGAATTTTGAAGTCACCTACAGAAACATCTTCCAACAAGCTATAATTGGGCAGAGCAGTTAGTATTATTCCCATGTTACTCATAAAGAAGCTGAGATTACAAGCACTAAAATTTGTATCCAATATCAGCATAGTCTGGCAATTAAGGAAACAGAATTAGAACTCAGGGACTCACGGGCACTTTCTTACCCCACACACAGACAGCTTAAAATAATAACAGCATATTAAAATAAGAATCTCTCGTAGTACATTTAAGTGTTTGGGAAACTAATAATAAACTGAAGCTGCTGAAGAATCTGTTTCTTTTAGACAGGCTTTTCTAACATCTTTGTGAGGACTAACTGAATTGATGTGTGAAATTGCATAGGACAGTGGTGGCCCTATGCATAGTAGAGATTTAATGTTTATTTTAAAATTCAGAGACTCATTTCAGTATCTCGTAATTTAAAATAAAGATTTGATGATAAAAACCCACTAAAACAGAAATGACAAAATGACAAATTTGGAAAAATAACAAATTTCTAACAGTCTTCTTAAAAATAGTTGTTGATGAGTCTTACCTTGACAGATTTTTTTCTGCTTATGGCTGTCAATCTGGGTATTTCATACTCAACCACAACTATCCATGCGCTTAACATTTTGCAGACCAGGATATCACATGAGCACCATCACTGACTGTGACTGTTAGATTTAACTAATGTGACCGCTAAAAATCAAAGTAGAGTGTTGGAAATTTTTCAGTAATGTCATTAATTCCTAAATTATTTATGAAACATATTTCCAGCATGTGAGTGGACTCCAAGCCGCAGATTTCACTCACTTTCATGTATACCTAAGGAACATGTTATGGAAACTGATCATTTTATCTGAAAATACTCATTTTTGATTACTTAATATAATACTTAGCTAGAATGCCCTCAAAGACAGAGAATCCACATCAAACTTAAGTGACTGTCTTTCAATAAGATGGAGCTTTTATACATGAACACACCACACACACAAATTGCAGAGGAATGCTGTAAAAAATAAATGATTTATAATCTTACAAATACATTATATATATTAACTAGTTTAATTCTTACCAAGATTGCCAGATAGATACAATTTTTCTACTTTACAAAGAAAGATGATGATTTCTCCCAAGGTCACATGCCTGCTAAGACAGAAAAGAATTTGAAGGACTATGGCTTCCGAAAACTATTCTGTATACCCTCACTCTCCACAGAGCTGTAACTTTTGCTATTTATGTCTAAAATGAAGACGTAAGCCTCTGCAGAATTGTTGAAGGCTGCATATTTCTATAAAAGCTGGCTTATCCTTCTAGAAGGTTCGTTTTTCCACCTTAATAAAACAAAGCAGGAATAGGTCTTTGTGTTCGCCATTCTTTCTGTCCGTAGTGGTCATGTGCTCACGTATGAACTCATGTCTGCTCTGCAAGCTCTCGAAGCAAACTTTGAATATAATAAATAAGAAACTACACTGCATATTTTTAAGACACACATTATTTTACTGTTATAGATAAGGTTATTTCAATAATAAGCCCTGAATGTTATGACAGTGAAATGCTAGTATAAATCTTTCCTGCCCAAAATGTATTCTCTTTAATTTCTATATCTTTAAAGAACAGTGGTTCATTTGGTTGGTATCCCATGAAGCTGGTTATAATTCTATATAAGACAATAATGTGATTTCTGAAATTTCAAATGAATTAATGTGATTATATATATAAACTTTTAAATATATTTTAGTCATATGTAATAAATGTTTGATTTTTTATTGATATCTCTGAAGTTGCAAAGAGTATGTTTCTCATCTGCCTTATTCACAAACTATTAGGTAATGTCTATTTAAAGTTTCTTAAATGTTAATCTATTTAATTAAGCAAAAATTGACATTAAGTTTTATTTTGCTACATGATCCTATTATCACATCACTCAGAAGTATATTTTCCAGAGTTTACACTTTGAAACAAATTGAGAAAGAAGTAACATTTGGCAGATAAAGGTGAAAAAATTCTGTTTTGGTAGGGTTCCTTTGAAAGGTTTTTATTGTATTGTTTTTGCTGAGGTTTACAAAGTTTATTCAGCTACAGAAAAATATGATTTTAATTCTGCAACTGAATTTTAACATTGGAGTCAAAATGCTCATAGGATCTGATGTTCTTGTATTAGCTTGGCTGTATGTCTTAGATATTAAACCCAAATTAGAACCAAAATAAAAGGATGGATCAACCATCTCTACCAACCATGCCAACAATGACCAACCTGGGTCACAATCACAGCAGCCACCTCCACGCAGGTGGTGGGCTGATTGATTTCCAGGTGTTATCTCAATTAGTACTCTGGCCCTTCAAGATCAGTTTCACAGATGGAGAAACTGCAGCTTGCAGCAGAGAGTAGCAGGGTTTGAGGTGGTGGAGCTGGGATATGGCTTCTTTTATATAGGTCAGCCTGGGCTGTCCAGACAGAAGGTTGTGAGTGCAGAGGTTGTGCAAATATTTACCTGAAGTTGGTATAGCGATTGTTAACTCAAAAAATGTCGATGTACATGACCCTTTAGTTGGAACAAGAGTGAAATGATTATCTCTGGCTGGGCATGGTGGCTTAATGACTGTAATCCTAGCATTTTGGGAGGCCCAGGTGGGCAAATTACTTGAGGCTGGGAGTTCGAAACCAGCCTGGCCAACATGGCAAAACCCCGTCTCTACTAAAAATACAAAAATTAGCCAGGTGTGGTGGCATGCTTCTGGAATGCCAGCTACTGGGCAGGCTGAGGCAGGAGAATTGCTTAAATCTGGGAGGCAGAGGTTGTAGTGAGTCTAGATCGCACCACTGCATTCCGGCCTGGAAGACAAAGTGAGACCCTGTCTCAGAAAAAAAAAAAAAAAAAAAAAAAAAAAAAAAAAAAAAGGTGAAATGATTATCTTGGAATTGGCACGAATTAACAATAGACGAACTGTTACCAAGTCTGAGCATCAACACTAGCATTTAAAATTGACCACATTCACTAAGGCATTTCCTATATTTTTATTTCCATGTGTTTATACCCAGGGACACCCATTGGTGGTTGGGTATGAGGCAGGCTGATCTTTATTCTCTTTGTTTTGTTGTTAAGCCTGGTACATTCTTTTTTTTTTTTTTTTTTTTGTGATGGAGTCTACCTCTGTCGCCCAGGCTGGAGTGCAGTGGCACGATCTTGGCTCACTGCAAGCTCCACCTCCCGGGTTTACACCATTCTCCTGCCTCAGCCTCCTGAGTAGCTGGGACTACAGGGGCCCACCACCATGCCCGGCTAATTTTTTTGTATTTTTAGTAGAGACGGGGTTTCACCGTGTTAGCCAGGATGATCTCGATCTCCTGACCTCGTGATCTGTCCAACTTGGCCTCCCAAAGTGCTGGGATTACAGGCGTGAGCCAACGCGCTGGCCCTAAGCCTGGTACATTCTTTAGTAAAGCAAAATAATTAGGCAGGAAACATTCTTCATTCTTGGTTGAACTAACTGCTGGCCTGTTCCATACATAGATATTAACTATGTGCCCCAGTCATGTTAGGTGATAGCACTTCTAGTGCAAAATAGCATTAACCCTTTCCTTGTTCTCACACATGCCATATTCTTAAAAATCTGAGAACAATGAAAAAAATATCTAAAACAACTTTGTTTGCTTTGCACTCTGATCCTTCCCAATGTTCAGATAGCAAGATGGAGTGAAGAGTGAAAGCCCCTTTGCCTTGGAGCAGATAGTGGCAGTGTGCTCCTCTTGACACCCCCAGGAAACAGGCCACAGGTGCATGGAGCTGTGTTCACTGTGAAGTGGATTCAGCCTGATAACATGGAATCAATGATGCCATTGAAATCAAAGCCAGATGTAATCCTGCCCACACTCTATGATAGCTGTCCTACCTCCAGAGTGTCCTTTCTTCTTCCTAGACTGTAGTTTTTCATTTATAAATTAAGGGTGTGGGGCTGGAATCATGTCTAGGTCCCTTCCAACTCTCTAATTGCAGATTCCAGGATTCTCACTGCAGATCCTTTGCCTGTTACCGTGGTGCTTGATTGCCCTGCCATGTGATGTGGCTTTTTGTGAGCATCTTTACCACTTGATTAGGGAGGAATCTGTGGGATAGCATTTTAGAAAAGTGAACTTCATAGAGGTTGCCATGTTTATAGTCATTTTAATGATGTGGATGAAATTTAAACTACCTTGTAAATAAAGAAAACTTAGACAATGGTGACGAATTCAGGGACTGGAGAGGTTGTCACATCCTTGTTAACCATTAGCAGTGTTTCCTTTAAAACAGCAGCTTTTTGCATATTAGCAAAGCGAGCATACATTGCTCATTGCCATGAGAGGTGACGACATGAAGATGGTGTGTCCTGCAGATACATTGATCCCTTTCTCTGTTTTCTCCTAGGGTTTTCCAGGAAACACAAACGCAGACAGTGTGGTGCACTACAGACTCCAGCCTCCCTTTGAAGCCAGGTTCCTGCGCTTTCTCCCTTTAGCCTGGAACCCTAGGGGCAGGATTGGGATGCGGATCGAAGTGTACGGATGTGCATATAGTAAGTGGCCTTTATTCCCTGTGTGAAATCAAGGTCAGCATGAGATTCTGTCAAAGCCAAACTGTAAAAGCCAATGTCGGCATGAAATGTTGAACTTGACTTTTTCTGTCTTTTTATATAGCTGGGCAAGCAGAACTGGTTTTTATGGAAACACTCTAGTGTCTCCCCATGACAATATGGACTTTAGTTACTGTCTTTTATAGTTGAATTTAGTGGTGGACCTGAACTGAAACTTACCTGTCTTTAGATTCCCAGAGTTTAGCAAAGTACTTGCAATATGGTAGGCATCTGATGAAACGAATACAATTCAAACTAACAACAGATGATGCTGTTTTTTTGAAGCTGAGATGATACGCTGTCTGGGAAAACAGGAGCGGTACTGGGGGCAGGGTGTGATTTCTCGCAATCTCTTGGTTCTCTGTGTTTTTCTCTGCTAACGTCCTCTTTTGCACACTGTGCTGTCGCTTCACTTGATCTTCACTTGGTGGGAACCTGTGTTTAGTCAGCCTCTTTTCTCACCTATTCTTTGTTATAAAAGTGGAAAGGATGGGGCCGACATGAATATAACACAAACAAAAAGCCGGCCGTGAAATTATTTGGTGGTACTCAGTGACACAGTTGCCACTTGATGATCTAGAACATACTTGTATTCTTTCTTTACATTATCATAAAAATGTTTTAAATTATTGTCAAAATGGAATAAAATTGAAAAATACTCCTGTATAAAACTGGAGAACAGGTCAAAGAGCAGCCTGGATGGAAATGTCTTAAGCAGCTTCAATTTGGGTCCGGCCGGATGTTCATATCACACTATTTACACACAGTCACTCCCATTCTCTGCCTACTCACAGCTTTAGCCCTGCAGAATATTAATTTTCTAAAGCATGATAACAACGTCTGTCATTCATACAGCATTTAATATCTCAGATACTATTATTTCCATTTTATTACTTAACTCCTGTACAACCCAGTTCATTTCCTAACTCTGCTTGTTTTTTAGTGTTTACATTTCTACAGGGCTAAATATAATGATGTTGCTTTACCAACAGTCTTTTTTCTTCCTGTTATTGTTCATCTCCTTCCATCCCTGTGTTTTCTGGGACCTATAACTGTGCTCTCTGTTTCAATGGCTAAGATGTCTGATATTTGGAATCTCTCTTTGATGCTGTGAAGTTACCTTCTCCTCTCATTACTCTGAAACAACTTCAGGTTTACTGACTTCAAAGTGGAACATGCTCTTTGATGGCGATTTGCCATTAGCTTGATGTTCCTTCATGAAGAGATATTACTCCAGTTCCTTGGGCTGGAGGTTGGTACCAGGAAGATCAAAGCCCCGTGCCTGATTCCAGGAAGGGCCGGTGAGCGGTGCAGCTGCCATGCAATCTGCTGGCACCGTTAACTTCTGTAAACACATGCTGTTGGCTGTAAGGGACTACTAGTAAAAAAACCCAAACATGCAGACAGATAATATGTGACCACTGCTAACTAGCTAAAAGTAATTCTTTAGAACAAGTGGACATCTACATTGTCTTTTTTTCCTTAGAAGAATAATTGTTCAAGTATGGTGATTTTATTTTTGTTGTTGACAGTAATACAATCCTTTATGACTTATGTTAATAATGGTAGTTTCAGTATTTTCCTTTGTATTTCCACTGCCCTGCTTGTTTTCTAGAACGTTGCTTATAATGACTTATAATATCCCTGCCACGCAGCATCTCTTCCCATTTATTTATTTATGTATTTATCAATTTATCTTTTTTTATTTTAAGAGGCAAGTTCTCATTATGTTGCCCAGGCTGGAGTGCAGTGGCTACAGGCACAATCCCACTGCTGATCAGCACGGGAGTCTTGACCTGCTTCATTTGGGAGCAGGGCTAGTTCACTCTTCCTTAAGCAACCTGATGGTCCTCCGCTCGGAGAGATCACCATTTGATGCTAAAATTTGTTCAGACACCTGATCATCATAGTGCACCCCTGGGCTCCATCGATCCTCTACCTCAGCCTCCTGAGTAGCTGGGACTGCCCAGCCCTAGTGTTATTAGCTTTTCTACACTTCATTTACAGTAATAGATTCATTATTCCTTTAAACTGTGTGTGTTTTCACAGACTCCTGGCTTACTCTATTTATTTCTATTTCCACTTCTAGCCTGGGGATAGGTTGTAGGTTCTCCCAGAGTTGCTGCTCAACTGCAGAATAAAGCCATGAGCACAGATGGCCTCGGGCCCTTCTTGACAGCTGTATTCTCCTGGTTTTCCATGCACCTTTGCATGCTACTCTTCTTGCCACTCCTTAAAGGCTAGCATTATCCACAGATTGGTTCTAGGTCTTTTATCCTGCTCCCAAGCTCTCTCTGAGCCTTTTATCCACTTCCATGAGTTTTCAGTAGCATTTACACACTGTGGCTGATAACTTCCAAATACGTATCCGCAACCTACTCTGAGGAGTTCCAACCTCTGGTACCAACCTCTCTTCACTGGCCCTGTGAGCACTTAAAACTCAGTTGTCTATCTGCTCATTTTCCTTTGTTTTCCATCTTATAAAACGATACCAACAGCCACCTATTGACTGAAACCTGATTCTATCTCCTAAATGTTTTGAATTTCTTTCTCTCCCTCCAGTTTAGCCTAAATGAGCACCAGCCTCCTAAATCAGCTATTTGTCTCTGGTCTTGATCTTTCCAGTTTTTAGTCCACACAATAATCAGGATGATTCCTGGAAAAACATGCACATTCGATTGTTCAAACTCGATTGTTGAGACATGCTTAAAGCTACGCCCAAGACACTAGGATTGTTTCCCAGAGGCCTTAGACAGAAAAATAAATTCCCTATGCTCTACTGCCTGTCCAGGCCTTCGAGGGCATCTCTCAAGAACAAAGGGGAACTCCCAGAATCTTAGGCCAGAACCCTATGGGTCCTTGACGCATCTATCTCTCTTGCCCTCCATGTCCAGTGAGTCACGAAATTCTGTATTCTTCCCTCCAAATTACACCTTGCATGATTTCAGCTCTCTTTAGCTCTACTACCGACTTAATCTAAACTTGGTGTCCCACAAATTATGGAAATTGCCTTCCAAGTTTAGGTCATTCTGTCTCTGTTCATAGCTGACTACATTATATTCTCCACACTGCAACTCAAGTTACCTTTTAAAAATGCAGAACTGATACAATTACGTCCCTGTTTAATACCATCAGTGGCTTTCCATTGTTCCTAAAATAACATCCAGACTCCCAGCAAGGCCTGAAGGAGCTTGTCCCTGAATAACTCTCCAGTGCCACCTCTTGCTGCCGTCACCTGCTACCTGTCCACTGTCAATTGTGTCCGGCTTTTTACTGACTCAAAGCCTTTACGCCTGCGGTCTCCCCTGCTTGAAATGCTCCTTCCCCATGTTCTCAACTGGCTATTTACTCTTCCTCTTTTCGATCTCAGTTTAAATGATGCTTCCTAGGCCCTCACTCTACATTTGTTTCCTCATTATAAGTTCCCAGGAAGCCTATAGTATGACTTCATGTGCTATAGTCACTTTTTATAGTGTATCTGTATCTGTCTTATTAGAGGCCTAGTTTCCTTTTTCCTCATTAGACTTCAGGCTACACTAGGGTAAGGTACATTCATTGCTGTAACATCAGCACCTAATACAGAGCCAGGAACATACTAAGTGCACCATAGCTTTGCATTGAGTGAATGAATGAATGAAGCAATTCAGAAAAAAAGTCTGACAGATGATAATAAAATCTGAATAATGAATCTAAATTTCAGATTATTTCTCTCTTATACTAGCCATCCAGGTAAGGCAGGTATCTTGGAGATTATATTGTTATAAAGTATAGTATTAAAAATTGTAATAACTCTAGTAAAAATAGCAAATATAAGATTTTACAGTTATGTTTCCATTCTTCCATCTGATACTTGATGCATCTTTATGTAGTAGAAAGGCAGTTATTAACACCCAGATGTTCCAAGTACGCAATCTGAGAAGCCACACCAAGGGCCGGCAGTGCAGGAGCTACAAATAGTCACCAGAGACAGGGAGAGGACTCCAGTCCTCTGACTACCAATTCCATGTTCTTGATGGATAATAACTGCCGAGGTTTCATAAAGGATCATTATATTGATACTTGTTTTGATATATTGCTATATTGATTGATGGCGGCAGCTTCTTTTCTACTTTCAGAGAGACAGCATCAAGCTGCATTGTATTGTATATAAACATTTAGTTTTTGATTCTGTGCCTTCCTCCTTTTTATCATGCCAGCTTTAATTATCCTCAATTTCAGAGTTCTTTAAATCACTCCACTTTCTTTGATATTAATGCAAAAAATAGAACAGTCCTCTTCTTGTTGTTTTCTCAAGTGGTTAGTATCCTTTCCATCTCTTTAATTCCCAGTCCGCTAGTGCAGATTTTAAGGGCTTACATTCCACTCCATGCTAGTGTTTTAGTATTTTCATTAGATAACACTCAAACATGGCTTTTGTCTGATTCATGTTTCTGTTAAACTGAGATTGGGCTTCTATTCCTTTGTAAGTCATGGGCAATAATTCATGAAGGAAAAAGAAAATGGTTAGTATTCAAGGTTGACTTCATAAATAACCAAGAAGAGCTTGGTTCGCCACTTTTTTGGTCCCTTAATGGTGGAAAATTTGGTGGGGGAGGGGGTCTGGGAGTGGTGGATTCTTCTTTAAAATTTTAATACTTGGAGCACAGCCCAGATAATTAACAGAATTCTAAAATGTTCTTTTCACGAAGATTTCTTTTATAATGTCCCAAGTGAAAATCATTTTTTATTACTCACAGGTAATTCTTTATTCATGCATTTTCTGTTACATTTTCTTATAACTTAGTCTTCAAATAGTTTTATATGTCATTCAGACTCTGTCTTACATAGCTATGCTATTACCAATCAGTCCTTTTCTTATTCATCATTCTAGCTTCACTTATAATTGGTTGAACCATATATTTGCCAGTTTTGTAGATCAAATACAGTTGAATATTAGCAGCTTCATCTGGATTAACTGAGTGCTGTACTGTTTTCCGTAGGAACAACAGACGGCAAGTGGAGGTTTCCGGTAAAACAAAACAAATAGAACAAATAGTGACTGGACAAAAGCAAATTTTATTTTCTCCCTTCCAAAATTTTACCTGTCCTTGATTAGAATTTGAGACATGGGAAATTTTCATAACTCCTGAGATGGTCCAAGTTTGTATTTCTTCATTGGTGTTCTAATGAAGTTAGAACTACCTACCTCTGTAAAGTTCCTTTAATTGTTTTATCACTTTTATATATACACGCTGTGCTAGTTTGCATCACTGGCACCAATTCTGCACCTGTTCCTTGCCAGTGCCTGTGAGTGGTGTATGCTTCCCTGCCCCCTGATTTTTGAGCCAGCCAGTGACTTCCTTTGGCTAATGGTAGGCAGAGTCAACTCTACAGTGTACCTACTGTCCTCCTTTGTGTCTACCATTAATAAGCATGCCTGAAATATGAATTCCAGTAAAATGAAAAGAGATACATGCTTTACATATTTTGAAGCTGTTTCATTAAATGCATATAGATTGGGAATTGTTTTATCTTCCTTAAAGTTGATTTTTTGTAATTATGAAATATCCTTGTTTATTTCTAATAATGCCTCCTGCCTGTAAGTCTGCATTCTCTGATGATAGTACTGTATAGCTATGCCAGATTTCTTCTGGTTAGTGTTTTCATGGAATAACTTTTTCCATTCTTTACTTTCAAACTTTTTGTCTTCATATGTAAGGACTCTTTCTTTATTATTTAAACCAAATCTGGAAATCATTGAGTTTTAGTTGGTATATTTAGTCCACTTATATTAAATGTAATTACTGACATATGTGAAATTGTAGCTGACATGTTACTCTCTGTTTTATATTTGGTTCACTTGTTTTATACTCCTTTTTCTCTCCTCTTCTTTTGGGTTAATCAAGTTTAATTTTTCCAGTTTTTCCACTATTGTTTGCTGTTCTAATTTTGTTCTCCTAGGTACTTGAGCTACTACTTTTATCACTTTCCAAACAATACTAGGATTTAAGTACAACTTATGTTAGTTTAGTTAAACTCCTCCCACCATGTGTGCTATGTTGACACATTTTAGTTTCATACATACATGTGTATATGTGTACATATATTTTAATCACAAAATTTAATATAATTTTTTTTGCAATCAGTATTCACTTGAATTTACTCACATATTTACTTTCTCTGCATTTTCATGCTCTTTCTGAATCAAATTCTTTCAGCTAGAAAGACTCCTTTTAATATTTGTCTTAGCCCAGTTCTACTGGTAATAAATTGTCATATAGCTTTTGTTTGCCTGAAAATTGTCTTTATTTTATATGAACTTCTGAAGGCTGTTTCAGCTTGCTGGAGAATACGGTCTGTAGTTATTTTCTTTCGGCCTTTTAAAGATGGCATTCTATTGTTTTCATGATGTTTATTAAGAAATCAATAGGTAATTGATTTTTATCCTATAAGGGAAATGTGTATTTTTCTTCTGGTTACTTTTGAGAATTTATTATTTGTCTTTGATTTTCAGCAGTTTTGCCTTGATGTGGCTATTTTAGTTTTCATTGAATTTGTCCTCTTTGGATTTCACTAAATTTCTTTTTTCTATGCAGTGATTATTAGATTGGGTAATTCTTCACTGTTACTTCTTCAAAATATTGCTTCTGTCTCGCATTTCCTTTCCTCCTTTCTGAGACTCCAATTACATCTGTCTGAGATGTTTGTATCTTATTTTCTTTCTTTGTCTCTCTCTTTCTCCCTCCTCCTGCTTCTCTCTCTCCCTCTCCTCTTTCATCTTTTCTTTCTATTTATGCTGCAGTCTAGACATTGTGTACTGCTTTATCTTCTATACTACTAATCAGATCTTCTGCTGTGACCAATCTGTTGTTGAATATGCCAGTGAGCTATTAATTTTAGTTACTGTGATTTTCAGTTTGGGAATTTCTGTTCATGTATCCTAGTGAAACTCCTTATCTTGCTGCCTATTTTCCTGGAAATATTAATTACAGTTATTTTAAAGATTTTTCGTTAACTTCAATATCTGGATTATCTCTTGATCTTTTCCATTGTCTGGTTTTTGTTTCCGTTTTGATGTCTGATAATTTTGGCTGAATTCTGGACATGTTGGACAGAAATTTGTAGAGGCTAGAGAAGACAAAGTGATCCCCCAGCGAATCCCCACCACAGCCTCTGTTAGGCTTCTAGATTAGGCACAGATGTTAATTCAAATAAGCATTTAACTGACTCAGTGCAGCGTCTCAGTCCCCATGAGGCCTAGTTGATATCTTATATCTGGAGTACAATGCTTCACTAGTCCCAACTGAGATTTGAAGGCCTTTGCCAAAACATTTTTTTGAAAATCTCTGAATTCTGCCATCTGACTCCTAATTATGATGAGTCTACAGAGACCCCTGCTTCGTGACCCAGCCTCATAGCTGTCCTGTCACTTTCTGCTTGGCCACCTTGTCTCTTGCCCATTGCTCCTTGGGAGTTGACCAGTGCTTCAAGGGTAGAAGCAGAAAGAGTGTTCTGAGCTTGTCTTCTAAGATCTTTACATTCTTGAGTCCTGGCAGTCGTAGTAGATCTTTAAAACTTTCAAGAAGATTATTTAAACTTTACTTGGTACACATTTTCTACTTGTCCTTGGTAGGAAGTGTAGTCTTCTGAATGTTTGCTTGTCATAACTGAAAATATAACTAACTGCATTTCTTTTAATGCCATGGGAAATGTGTTGAAGAAAACAAAGTGTATATAATTTTTTCATATAATAATGTGTTTATAATACAATCTACTTAATATTTTGGAAAATTATTTTTCTGTAAAACACTGAAGTGCTAATTAAATTTCAACAAATTTTTTTAAAAATAAATAAAGCTGGTCACAGTGGCTCATGCCTGTAATCCCAGGACTTTAGGAGGCCAAGGCAGGCAGATTACTTGATTGCCCAGCCTGGGCAACACAGCAAAACTCCATCTCTACAAAAAATACAAAAATTATCTGGACATGGTGGTGTGTGCCTGTGGTCCCAGCTACTCAGTGGGCTGAGGTGTGAGGATTGCTTGATCCCAGTGAGGTCAAGGCTGCAGTGAGCCAAGATCATGCCACTGCACTCCAGCCTGCGTGGCAGAGTGAGACCCTGTCTCAAAAAAAAAAAAAATTTGTCATAAAAAAGTAAAATAAATAGAAACTCAAAATAAGATGAAAAAGTAAATCCCTGTCCATCAGAAATAAGTAAGTTGAAGAATTGGAATGTGAACCTACTCACAGAGGATTCCAGACTCTGTGCAATCAACTATCTTTACCAGGAAATGGGAGAAGGAGAAAAGAGAGAGGAAAGAAAAGAAATAGAGAGGAAAGATCATGCATGAAAATTAAAGAGAGAGATCAAGGCCTTTACTGAGAATGCAGAACCAAGGCCTGTTTTCCCTAAGTTCCTCTTATTATGCCCAGAAGGAAAGAAAATATGTGAGTGAATAAAGGCAAATATTTCCTAGGAAAGCTTTGTGTATTCATCGATTGCAGGATTCAATATTCTTATCATCCTCCCCGAATTGATCTACAGAATCCCAATACATCTATTCTAACTTATTATTATATTAAAATGAATCATCACTAGTCTTTAGAGAAATAAAATCACAATGAGAAACCACTATACACCTAGCAGAAAGGCTAAAATTAAAAAGGGTGGAAACACCAAGTGTTTGGCAAAGATATGGAATTCTCATACATTGCTGGTGGGAAATGTGAAAATGATACTATCACTTTGGAAAACAATTTGGCATTCTTCTAAGCTAAATATACACTTAATATATAGCTCAGCAATTCCACTCCCATGTATTTACCCAGCAGAAATGAATGCATATGTCAACATAAAGATGTATGTGTGAATGTGCCTAGCAGCTTTATTTATAATAGTTTAAACCTGGAAACAGTTCAAATGTCTATCAGCAGGTAAATGGATAAACAAGTTGTCAAACAGTTGAATACCCCAAGCAATAAGAAAGAACAGACTGTTGATATATGCAACAGCATGCGTGTATCTCAAAAACGTTACACTTAAGAAGGAACGCAGACACAAAAGAACACATACACGATACAATTTTATGAAATTTTGGAACTGACAAAACTAATCTGTAGTTATGGAATGTAGATCATTGGTTTCCTGGGTCTGGGTCTGGGTGACAGTGTTGGGGGTTTGATGCAAATGGCAATTAGTGAGTTGATATGAAATTGCCTACACCTTGATTTTTTGGCAATAAGGTAGGTATATATATTTATTAAAACTCATTGAACTATAACCTTAAATTTATTGAATATAAATTATAACTCTATGAAAATGATATTCATGTTTCCATATTGGAATTGTGGGTTTTGTTGTTGTTTTTTTGAGAGAGAGTCTCTCTCTGTTGCCCAGGCTGGAGTGCAGTGGAGCAATCCTGGCTCACTGCAACCTCTGCCTCCTGGGTTCAAGCTATTCTCCCACCTCAGCCTCCTGAGTAGCTGAGATCACAGGCATGCACCACTACACCCAGCTGATTTTTTGGTATTTTTAGTAGAAATTTTACCATGTTGCCCAGGCTGGTCTTGAACTCCTGACCTCAAATGATCCACCTGCCTTTGCCTCCTAAAGTGCTAGGATTACAGTGTGAGCCACTGTGCCTCACCCCATATTGGAATTAACATTCAATTTATTTAGAGAGTAAACCTCTGTAATCTGCCCATTATCCCTGATAAATCATCCTGAAGCCTTCGTGTCATCACAGCTACCTAGTTAGCTTATTAAATATGCAAACCCCTGGGTCTCAACCACAGAAATCCTGATTCCTGGTCTGGTTGAGGCTCACGTTCTAAAGTCTCCAAGTGATCACTCCTAGTCAATCTGAGTGAAGGTGGTTGATAGAACACTTTAAGAAAATTTCTGTGGAATCGTGTTTTTTTTTTTCTTCTGTAAGACATCAGTGTTTGCACCCTATGGAATCTTGCTGTTTTCAAGCAATGTTGATGTTTCCTCTGAAAAGGCAGTACAAGGTAGGATGGGGATGAGACATGCCTGTGCTTAGAATGACAGTGAGAAGCAGAAAAGTAGTAATGAGAAGCCAGAGTTAAGAGTACATTCTGGGTGTGAAAAATGTGAAAGTAGGCCAGGCGGGGTGGCTTATGCCTGTAATCTCAGCACTTTGTGAAGCTGAGGCGGGCAGATTGCTTGAGCCCAGGAATTCAAGACCAGCCTTGGCATCATAGTGAGACCCCCCATCTCTAGAAAAAAAGTAAAAAATTAGCCAGGCATTGTAGTGCATGCCTATAATCCCAGCTACTTGGGAGGCTGAGGCTGGAGGATCACTCTAGCCCAGGAGTTCAAGGCTGCAGTGAGCTGTGAAGATACCACTGCACTACAGCATGGGCAACGGAGTGAGTCTCTGTTTCTAATAAAAGTAAAATGTGAAGGTAAAATATGGCTTAAGGAAATAAAGGAAATAGCAACTCAAAATTACTTATGTCTTAGCTTTTCAGAGACGTCATACTTTGCAGGAGTCTAAAGCAGGTAGACTCCTTCCTTATCCTTTCTTAGAAGTCATTCTGGACCAGATGCCTGTTTACAGAAGCATCACTGTGAATGTGGCAGAAACAATCGTATTTCAGGATTATATGACCTTTTTTCCATACTGTGGGATCCTTAAAAGTAATTCATTGTCTTCTGCATTTTTATCTTTCACCTAGCATATGGAAGGCTTTCAGTGAATATTAGCTGTATGAATGAGGACATAACACATTTTAGCAAAATTACTTCTGACACAGTTCTTCCTTGTATGACAAAGTTCTTTATCTACAAGAATTCGTATTTGGGAACTTTGTGAACACATCTGTCCTTAGCTTTTCCGATATTCTTTGAGGAAGTGTGACAAAAACATTATAATTGCACCAATAATCTTCAAGTATCATTTAAAAACTCTAGTGGTCCTCTAACACAAGAAAATGAGATAGATATATTAATACTTCTGAGTAAGATTTAGGTTACCAGTGATTGAAGTGAGTCAGCCCAGGAACAAGCTGGCTGGCAGAGAAGGAGCTGTGTAAGTGTGGATGAATGGTTGTAAATCTCTTTTTCCTGGTGGAAACTGAAGATTTCCTAGGTCCTTCAAAAATTAAATCCGCTATCATTTTAAGCTGTCTACTTTCCTATATATCCCCTATGTGCTATTTTAAACTCATTTCCACCTCTTTTTCTGCCCAGTGCCCTGACAATAATAATGAAGCCGTCGTTCACTGAAGGTACCCCATGTGCCCAGCACTGTTGTAAAAGTACAAATACTAACTCATTTAACCCTCGCAACGACCTTGTGAGAGAGGAGTGTATGTATTCTCACTTCACTTATGAGTAGACTGAGGCAGAGAGAGGCTATGTAACTTATCCAGGATGGAGCCAGGATTCAAGCCCACGCAGTATATACTCTAGTGTACTAGAAAATGTAGCTCCTGATCTAATGGTGACAGACTAACGTGTCAGGGGTCCACATTGCTAATACTGATTGAGATTCAGCAATCAAAACTATAATCTTAATTAATAAAGCTAATAATTATAAACTAAATTCATATAAAATTAGAAAAGCACTTCCTGCTTTAAACCACAAGCTAAGTTTTCTTTATTCATTTTGGATAGCAAGGCTTTCATTCTGAAAACTTTGAGGAACGTTGGATTTTATCGTAAACATAATAAGTGACATTAATTTTCCAGTATCCCACTACATTTCCTATTTATATAATTGAATTTCATACAAAGGATTTTTTCCAACAGGTTTCTGAGAAAAGATTATATTAAATGTGTTACTGGAATTATTTTATTTTAGTGTATTATTCAAATATATATTGTAGGGGAATATTTGCATTGATTATGGCTAGGTAGAACTGTTTTTTTCTTGAAATGGGGTCTTGCTGTGTTGCCCAGGCTGGGGTGCAGTGACACAAGCACTGCTCACTGCAGCCTCCATCTCCCAAGCTCAAGCGATCCTCCCACCTCCCCCTTCCAAGTAGCTGGGAATATAAGCAAGTGCGACCAGTCTTGCCATGCTGCCCAGCCTGGTCTCGAACTCTTGGGCCCAAGTGATCTGCCCGCATCAGCCTCCCTAAGGGCTGGGATTACAAGCATGAGCCACTGCACCTGACCAGCTGGGAGAACTTTTCTTTGCTCTTGCAAGTGTTTTAAAATGCTAAAAGTATGACTTTTGTGGACAAGTGGGAAGAGAGTTTACCTTTTAGCATTACTTCTAAGGACCAAGACTTGAAATTTTGCTTCTCCAGTGGGAGGATCTTATTCAAGAGGGACTACATGGGCGTTGTCCCTCTCCAGTGCTGATCTTGGTGGGCTCGTTACTGTTGACTTATTGAACTCAATGCTTTCCATCCCAAACATCATTTTTTGTTTCATATTTTTATGTATTGACTTCATAAATCATAGAATGTTTAATGATTTTTAGAAAGTTTGGATTTGCAATTCATTAATCTGCTTTTATTTTAAAATATGCATAATGAGCTATAAGTATATTCTTAAATTTCTAGATACAAGCACTAGCGATTACAGTAAAGAAAAAATCAAGGTATTAGCTAAAGAACAAAAGAGTTTCAAGGTCATTGCTTTATGTCTCTTTTACTTGATAAGTGTTTTACTATTCTATTTGCCTGAGGGAAACATTCCAGGAACTGTACTTCACATGCCTTAGAAGATCAATACTGCTGTTGGAGAGTAATAGTAAACATAGAATGAGAAAAAGAAATGTATAGGTTGCAATAATCCAGAAAAAACCTTTTCGGGAAGAAAACTTTTTTTGTTAGTCAACTAAAAAAAAAAAATAGCTCAAATATTAGCATTTTCTTTAAGCAACAAATAAAGACATGATTATAAGTATTAGGGCAGTGCTAAAAATGTGAAAGTCTGTAGTCAATCTTTTTCAGGTTTCCCTTAGTTCATGGCCAGGTAATAATAATCTTAGATGTCTTCATTTACATTTGACAGAGAGTTTTGTTTTTATCATGAACATATAATAAGTTATGTAACAAGGAATAATTGTTTAATTTACACATATTTTACTCAGAATGTGTTTATTCATCATGCACTTGATACATTAATTCCTTGTAAGTACATTAACCCAATGTGAGAAAATCAAACTTCTAAATTTTAAAATGATACATAAAATGGAGAACTTTTGAAGTGCAGTTTATTATATGTATTTCAGATAATGTGAATGAAATGGATAGCCATGCAAAAAGTACTAGTAATATTTTTGTGAAATTAAATATAATTAAACAATGCCATCTTATTGGCTTGAATGACATCAGCTAGTCAGCTTCAAATAGTTTCATATTTCACTAGGTTTTCATGCATCTTCATTTATTAAATAAATATATTTTTCAAAGGACAATTGCTTATTTTTCTTTTTACTTTTAAAAAGAAGAGATTTTCTGGGTAATATTAATTTCTTCATGTGATTTTGACAAATATTATCAAATATTATTTTATATTACTGATAAAATGAAACAACTTGTTTTTTGATGAGCTGAACATATGTGACATTTATAGTGAATTTATAAGACCCTGACAGAGTGCTGAGAGAGTGTGGCAGCATTGGAGTTCTGACAAGCTACAGCAGGAAGAACCAAAACAGAGGTGTTAAGGCCATGCTCTCTCAACAAAGCATCCAAGAAAACAAAACCTCTGTGCCTTTGTCAGACAGGGCTCTCCAGAGAAACAGAACCAATAGGATGTCTGTGTGCCTGTGTGTGTGTGTGTGTGTGTGTGTGTGTGTGTGTGTGTGTGTAGAGAGAGAGAGAGTTTTAAGGAATTGGCTTACCTGATTGTAAGGACTGGCAAGTCCTAGGTAAGAGGTGATATTGCAGCTGGAGTCCAGAGGTTGTCTGGAGGCAAAATTCCTTCTTTCCTAGAGAACTTCAGTTTTCTTTCTTTCTCTTACAGCCTTCAACTGATTGGATGAGGCTCACCCACGTTATAGAGTTTAACCTGCTTTACTCAATGTTTACTGATTTAATATTGATTACCTCTAAAAAATACCTGCACTGCAACATCAAGACTAGTGTTTGACCAAAAGCTGTTTACCATGGCCTAGCCAAGTTGACACATTGCAGTGCCCATTAGCAGTACCATTAGCCAAGGGTTGAGAAAAATATTACATGTCAGCTCATTTAAAATACATTTATTACATGTCTAAAGCAGTATTTAATAAGTATGATATGTGTTTCTGTATCTTTACAGACAAAATCTTTAGTAAAGTAGGTACATGTGTAAGAATCAAGAGAAGCCAAAGCTACTGGGAATGAACAAAGGTATTTAAATTGAGTGACACTGATATTTAATATAAGAATGACCTTAAAATAAATAATTTATGTAGTGAAATACAGCTTCTTTCCTGATTGTTTTTAATCAAACAGAATGAGAAGAAATGGGCTGCTCTAAAGATAAGAGCCATTGGGAGTAGATTAATAAAAGCATTTCTAGATGATGAAGTTTGAGAAAATGTTAGAAAATTCTAACGGTGGATATTACATATATCAACTCATGATGCCACCAGAAAATATATTATTGTCAGTTGTTTCCTTCAATGAATGGCTTAGAAATACAATGTGTGTCTATGTGTGTGTGGTGTGGCATATTGATGCACACATTTTCAATGTGCTACTGTATGACATATTTATATTTAGAATTGCTTTCTAATATCTTCTTTCCTAGAATCTGAGGTGGTTTATTTTGATGGACAAAGTGCTCTGCTGTATAGACTTGATAAAAAACCTTTAAAACCAATAAGAGACGTTATTTCTTTGAAATTTAAAGCCATGCAGAGCAATGGAATTCTACTTCACAGAGAAGGACAACATGGAAATCACATTACTCTGGAATTAATTAAAGGAAAGCTTGTCTTTTTTCTTAATTCAGGTAAAAAAATACTTGAACTTTTATACCAGTAGTTAAAAAAAATCTGTTTACATTTGTTGGTACTCAGTCTTTTCACAGTTAGATAAAATGACCATATAATTCATCATCTAAACCAGAACACCTTTAAGAAATAAAAAATACACAAGTGATAGTTACTCTGGGACAGTAAGTGCAAAGTAGAACTGCAATGAACAAATGTAAATGAAAGTTTAAGAGCATTACTACCAGATGCATGCAATACATACATATCCTAAGTATGATTTCTGTAAACAGCATATATTTTGACAAACTGTGCAAGATCACCATATGTGTGTATAATATATATGTAATATATGATTATCCATATCATAAAGACAATACATCATTATAAAATTATGAGATAATGCTGATAATGAGGTTCTAAGAAAGAAAATATTTGCATTGTAAATCCAAATGTCATGAGTAATAGAAAAAATACTAAGAAAAATTTCAACAAAGTGTAGAATTGAACTTAAAAAAAATAAAAACAGGGTAAGGTTATTGTGTTCAAGATAGGGAGAAAGTGAGAAAACAACTCTGTAAGATGGAAAGTTGGATGCAAACTGTGATGCTCAACTAAAAAAGGGAAGCTGTGATTTTGAACAGAAATAACTGTTTTTTTCCTTCTCCTTTAAGGCAATGCTAAGCTGCCTTCCACTATTGCTCCTGTGACCCTCACCCTGGGCAGCCTGCTGGACGACCAGCACTGGCATTCCGTCCTCATCGAGCTCCTCGACACGCAGGTCAACTTCACCGTGGACAAACACACTCATCATTTCCAAGCAAAGGGAGATTCCAGTTACTTGGATCTTAATTTTGAGGTTATTATAGATATATAGTTTAAATTAAATATAACCTGAAAAATAAGGTAGCTGCATAGAGAAATGCCATTTTATAGTAATTCATAACTAAGTTGACTAATAGTAATAGGTATGGTATGTCTGTCCCGGTACTATGAAACTGTTTATGCCTTCTAATAGGTCAGTTTATTATAATAGATCATCTTTTCCACCTTGGAAAGAAGTAAACAGTCAGTGTTAGGTTTAGGAAATCCACAAATGCAGAAATACCAAAGTAGCAAGCATTGTTATTAAATGTACTCATTTGAATATATTTCATTTGAAATTTCATCTGGTATATTACACTTGTTGTTTGACTATGCAGATTCCTGGGGGATTTTTTTTCTTGTCTTGGTGCAATCCTAACCAACATAGCATTATTTAGGATCACTTTGAGAAGTTAACAAGATATACACCAATAGATTTATTAAATAACAAGAAAAGTCAGATGCTCACATATAAATAATATCCTGATATTTTTTAAGTCATTAATGCTTTTTGCAACCCATTGCCCATATGTATCTAAGCTACACTGTTAAATAGCATCTATTCTTTCAGTCCTTTACAGGACACCTTAAAGTGTATGAAGGATCATAACAAACCAGAAAAACTGTGATATTTACTGGCGTAAGTGGCTTTGGCATATAATATTAAACTGAAGATCCTAGTCCTATACCGGATTATTCAGTTTTATTACTTTAATTTAACCATGTAATAGCAAAAGATAATATCTAATGCAGAGGTTGGCAAACTATGGGCATCAGGCCAAGTTTGGACATTTTTTAATTAAAAAAATACAAAGCCTGTTTTTGTTCAAAAGAGAAGGTTTTATTGGAACATGTTCTCTTTCTTTATGTATTGTCCGTGGCCACATTGGTACTTCGTGTCAGAGTTGAGTGCTGCAAAAGAGATCATATGACCCACAAAGGGTAAATTTACTACATGGCTGAAAATTTCAATGTGGCAGAAAATGTGTGTTGACTTCTTCCTTTTAAGTTTGTTCAAAACTGTGTGGTGCCAGAAATAAAGGTATTAACAGCTGTCATTATGATAGAACACTTCATTTGGAATAAGCAAGCATGCAAATATAAGATAATGGGAATGGATTTGTGACAGTTAGTACTAGACCTATTAATTATAAATGCTTTAAACACGTACCATCAGAAAATCACTAAACAATGTTATTTATGTCATTTTTCTTTCTAAGATCAGCTTTGGGGGAATTCCGACACCCGGAAGATCGCGGGCATTCAGACGTAAAAGCTTTCATGGGTGTTTAGAAAATCTTTATTATAATGGAGTGGATGTTACCGAATTAGCCAAGAAACACAAACCACAGATCCTCATGATGGTAAGGAAGCCTAATGGGAAGGAAAGAAAAAAGGACATTTTATTTTTTGCATTTAAAAATTATTCATGTGAAGTCTCCATTTCATCTAATATTTTAAGAATCAGTTCTTACTTTAACAGCTGCCCATGTAATATAGTAATTTAGTTTTATTTATTTATTTATTTTTAAGACAGAGTCTCCCTCTTGTCTCCCAGGTTGGAGTGCAGCGGCGCAATCTCAGCTCACTGCAGCTTACGCCTCACAGGTTCAAGCAATTCTCCTGCCTCAGCCTCCTGAGTAGCTGGGATTACAGGCGCCCGCCACCATGCCCAGCTAATTTTTGTACTTTTAGTAGAGACGGGGTTTCGCCATGTTGGCCAGGCTAGTCTCGAATTCCTGACCTCAGGTGATCTGCCTGCCTCGGCCTCCCAAAGTGCTGGGATTACAGGTGTGAGCCACTGGGCCTGGGCCAATTTTTTTTTTTTTTTTTTTGAGACGGAGTCTCACTCTGTCGCCCAGACTGGAGTGCAGTGAAGCTCTGCCTCCTGGGTTCACGCCATTCTCCCGCCTCAGCCTCCCGAGTACCTGGGACTACAGGTTCCCACCACCATGCCCGGCTAATTTTTTATATTTTTGGTAGAGACGGGGTTTCACCATGTTAGCCAGGATGGTCTCGATCTCCCAACCTCGTGATCTGCCCACCTCGGCCTCCCAAAGTGCTAGGACCACAGGCGCACTTTTTTTGTTTTTGTTTTTGTTTTTGTTTTGAGATGCAGTCTTGCTCTGTTGCCCAGGCTGGAGTGCAGCGGTACAGTCTTGGCTCACTGCAACCTCTGCCTCCTGGGTTCAAGCCATTCTCCTGCCTCAGCCTTCCGAGTAGCTGGGACTACAGGTGTGTGCCACCACACCCGGCTAATTTTTTTTAGTACAGACAGGGTTTTGCCACATTGGCCAGGCTGGTCTCAAACTCCTGACCTCAGACGATACACTTGCCTCGGCCTCCCAAAATGCTAGGATTACAGGCACGAGCCACCTTGACCCAGCCTAATATAGTAATTTTTATTATGCATAAAAAGTTATAAAGTAAATATGCCTCATGGGACATCGTTGTTTCATTTTTATATGAAATAAAATAACTTTCTATTTTTACATGGAAATCAGAATTCATATGTCTCACGTGTTTTTGGTGTTGTTATCCACAGGAGACCAATCATTTTGCAATGGCAATCCCTAATGATCTATTCCCTAATCAACTGGAAATACTTCCAAATCAGTTAATAAACTTCTTTCAATGTTTAAAGTTTGAAATATCCAAGTTTGGGTTAAAGGGAAAGCTCATGTTTAGTTGTCAGTGTATCTCAGCAGCACATCATGGGAATATTTATTTGTATTGTTGGGAACATGTTTTCTTTCCTGTTATGTGCTGGAGGAGTTGGCTCATGGGTTGCAGGACCAAAACCTGAAAATATCTCTGACTGTGTGTCACCAGACCACACAATGAATACATCACTTAGGTTAGCATGAGAAAAAGGGAAAAACAGCTGTGAAGCCCATGAACTTTCCAAGAAGGTAAAGGAGAAAAAAAAAAAAAAAAAAGATGGGTTTGAAGTCTAAGTTTTACTATGAACAGCACCCTGCTGAGATCATAAAAATGAAAAATACCATCAAGATACATGAAAAAGGAAACACCAAAGGGAAGAGTGATAACAAGGCTCCACAGAGTGCAGTTTCCTTTGACAAGATGAAAAAGAAATGAAAAGAGGAAGGAGATAAATGGAACAGCCCTCTACCTAAAGTTTCTGTCCATGGAGAAACTGACATTTAAGTGCTGCTCAACAGGAAAAAGAAAAAAGACCTGGTTATTGAAGTTGGCTTTGTTGGAGATGCGTTACTCAGATACAGATACAAAGATGGGTTTGGCCAATGGGCATCCGTGTCAAGAAGCCTGACCTAACACGTTCTGAATATTAAGCTACCTTTTATCTGCCAGTCCTTGGTGTTCAGAAGAATCCCTCCTCCTCACCCTAACTTCTATGGGGCTATTTACAAAGACACTGTCATTGAAGTGAGGAAGAGTGAGTTGGGCCTTATGACACAAAGAGACAAGACTATTTGAGGACAACAGACACAGGTTTTCATATACATTCCATGTTATTCTGAATTACTGATGGGTTCACTGATGGAATTATTGAGTATAGCCAATAAGGAGAACCACAATTAAGCTGGTATCTCTGGGTTCTGGATATCATCCTCAAGAAAACTATTTACTAATTACATTGAATGAGGTTATTAAAATGTGTAAGTTTCACACAAAAACAAAAAGACAATTCATTCCAAATTGTGCATATGGATATATAATGTTAATTATGGGAATTCCATTTTAAGAATTACTACAATTCTATGTGTTCTGTATAAAAACAGGAAAATAGTTGTTCCAATATATAAAAGGAAAACATTTAAAAATGTATTTTGTTGGGAAAATCAGTTGCCAGAATTCATTCAGTCAACTAACAAGCACTCCTCTGTGGCAAGAAGCCCTGCCTCTCTGTTGTAGCAGGCAGCTACCCACCTAAATGATGAGGTCAAGAAATATACAGCTGATAAAAAGATAAAAAATATGTAATAGTCCAGTGATTACATGTGTACTATGGATCAGTGCCAATTACTTGTAAGCTTTTGGTATTTAGTTTGTTACAGCAAATGTTTTCTTTTTTAAATTTTCTTCTGCAAATGTTTTCTTGTCATGAAAACTGTTTCCCATTTGGCAGAATTACAAAAATAGTCAAGAAGAAATGTTCTGATTGATGTATACAGTTAGAATGTGTATTAAAGATTATTATAAAATGATAACTGAATTATATCCATTTCTAAAGTATGTTGGGACAGAATTTTTTAAAAATGTGATTCTGTTTTGAAAATTGTTTTACCACTGGATCAGTGTGGTTCTTAAACTTGGCTTTATCTTGGAGTCACCAGAGGAGATTCAAAAGATACCATTACCTGGCTCTACCTCCAGAGATCGGGATTTTAATTGGTCTGTATCTGGATTTTAAGAGCCCTTCTGGTGATTCGACTGTTTAGCTAGGTTTGAGAGCCACTACCCTAGATTATCTGTCCTGCTCCAGTAACATTCTTTTTCTAAAATCATTTATAGTATATTAGAAATAAATCCATGGAAATTCCAAGTAAAATCAGAATTACTGGGGTTTTTCTCTGGAACTGAAATTCCTATGTGTGAATAATGCCCAAGAATTGCTTATTCCTTTCACCAGCCAAACAAAGCAAAACAAACAAACAAACAAAAACCATTTAAAAACCTAGTAAGATGTTGACTTACCAGATATTAAAGCATACTAAAAGCTTCTATACTAGAATCAGTATGGTAGTGGATAGGAACAGAGAAGTCAGTAGAACAGTCAAGATCTCAGAAAGATCCCAGTTTATGTGCAAAGTTGTTAGTAACAAGGAATGTGGCTCAATTCAGTGGAACAGGGATGAATTATTTCTGAAATTCTGCCGGAACAAACAAGTGTCCATAAGGCAGAAAATAAGCATGATCACTATCTTATACACACTAAGAATATGTAAATTAAAGAGGATGAGAAACAAACAACAATCTTAAAGAAAATCTATGAGATTGTATGTAGGACCTAGGGTAGTATGAAACTTTCTTAACAAAGATTGGAAACTCAGAAGCTGTAAAATACAATATAGACATAATTGACTATATAAAAACATCAATGTTTTCATGCTAAAAATACTATATGCAAACATTGCATATAACTATTAGATCTGAAAACCATTTGAAAGGCTGTCAAATATAACTTTCCAACAGCTAAAAATATGACCCATACAAATATCAAATAAGCATGTGTCAAAGATTTAGTCAATTCATTAATGAGGGAACCAGTAAAATAGTAAGCTGGTTCAAAAGAGATTTTGAGGATTGTGTAGAGAAGACCAAATGTTGCTCAGGAGAAAGACTGAGTATGAAAATGTCCTGTTATTTGCTGTATCCTCAGGGCTAGCACAGGGCCTGGAAAATAGCTGGCATAGATTAAACTCCTGTTGAACTAAAATTATATTGAGACTCCTTTACTAATGCTGAGAAGTAGAGAAGTGGAGAATTTCTCACACACACACAGAAAGCCACATGGATGTGTGCCCAATTATAATAATACTTATGTTGAAAGAGAAGATAAATGTTATAGATTTCAGCTTTAGCAGGCAGACTAATCCTGGATTGATAAAAAGCCTTGTACGTCTTCGTAAAATCTGGCTTTAATTAGATAGAAGCACCACCTGTAAGGCTGCTCAATGTGCTCTTTTGTTTTATTTATAGGGAAATGTGTCCTTCTCATGTCCACAGCCACAGACTGTCCCTGTGACTTTTCTGAGCTCCAGGAGTTATCTGGCTCTGCCAGGCAACTCTGGGGAGGACAAAGTGTCTGTCACTTTTCAATTTCGAACGTGGAACAGAGCAGGACATTTGCTTTTCGGCGAACTTCGACGTGGTTCAGGGAGTTTCGTCCTCTTTCTTAAGGATGGCAAGCTCAAACTGAGTCTCTTCCAGCCGGGACAGTCACCAAGGAATGTCACAGCAGGTAACAGTTGTATTCCCATAAACCTGACATATCCACACGGAAATCATTTGGTAATTAGTGAGTGAGTGAGGCAGTGAGATGCTCCATGCCCCCACTAGAGGAACAGATTGCTGTTTCCTTTTAGACTGTTCTGTGTGGTACACCCCGCTGCCACTAAAGTGTTCTTTTGACCAAAATGACTATGTATGAGAAATATGAAATGCATATTTCTGCAGACATACCTTCCCATATACAAGGAATATCCTTGAGCTCCATTTCCTGACAAACATATACCAGCCTCCATCCCAAAGAACTAGGGTCAGGACCTCATGGAACAGACAATACCTAGAGGCACATTCCTCTCCTGTCCTCCTCCTCCTTTCCCTTCTCCGCCCCGCCGCTCAGGGTCTGTGCACAAATATTCTATACACAGTAGGCAATTGATAACTATCACTTTACAGGGAAAGATGCCCGGCAAATACCAAGAGTTCTTATTCTTTCGTTGATGGCTGATTCGTTTTCTGGGATAGCTGGGCACCCTGGAAGAATCTCAGCTCCTCCACTTACTGCCCTTCTGAAATGTAAATCACGAAGCCTCCTAAGCCTCAGCTGTTTTCACTTGTGAAGTGGTAAACCTCAGATCTCCTTTGCAGGGAGAACAATAGGAAGTCTGATTTTATTAGCACAATGCCCACCCCACACACAGGCCCTCACATCCCCACTCCCCATCAGGGCCTGTTTTTGTTGGGCAAATGCTAGGTTAGGGGCTCAAATCCCATGAAGCCAGACTGAGTTACAATAGATGGGAACTAATCTCACATGCAGTCAGATGTGGGCAAGTTTGTTAACTACAGAGCTGCTGGATTTTGATGATTTTGGATTTGCAGATGGGAGGAGCACTGGGTCCTAAATTGACATTGTGCCTAAATTGGCATCGGAACTAAATGGGGGCTTTAAAAAAAAAAAAGCGTAATCTGAAAAAGAAAAAGGCACAGACGAAGAGGCTGACTTCTGCTTGAGACCAGGGGGTAATCATACTCAAAAAAAGATTCCTTTTGGCTGTAAGAGGCACACGTGACTATACTGCTATTAAATGTTGTGGTATAAAAGCACGATTTCAAGACCCGTGAAGAAATTCAGAGGGCGGGGCCTTATCTCAGTACTTCTGGAACAATCAGGCAAGTCCTGGGTGTTAGAATCTATGTCCACCTCACACAGGTGTTTCAGGGGAGATAAAACAGATATTCAGAGGGGACGTATATTTTTTATCTTTTAGAAATGCAAACCTAGTTTCCATTTCCTCACGAATAAGATTTTTTCCAAGAAAGGTTAAAATCGTGACCTACACACAGATACAGAATGAACACATGTCAGAGATTTTCTTTAACTCATTGATGAGAGAACCAGTGTTAGGGAAATAAGTAAAGATAAAATGGCCCACCAACATAGTGAATCAGTTTCACAAGGTAGAAATGAAATAATCTTATTATGGAATAAGTATTAAGCCAGACTGTGATGTACATTTCAGGCAATCGCTAATGTGATTGCAAAGATAAAGAAATTTCATCCATTTATATAGCCAGGCAGATACAACCCATTACATACATGTTCTAAAGATAAAGGACAGCTTGTCCTCAAGTAAGAGGACTTGACAGCGCCGTTTGCTACACAGCCCATCTTACATTCACCTGGTGATTGGGGAGGCACACTCCTTTATGCAAAGGAAAACTAAACTCCATGTCTCTTTGACAAGTGGGTAGTTGCAACTTGGAGCCAGGCACCTACGTTAAACTCCCACGGAGACAAGGAGATAGGAGCACTGCCTTTCTTGGTGTTTACATTTCAAAGAAATGTCTCCAAGGTCCTCAAGAAAAACACTCCTGGAAACAAGAAAGAGGCTAAATAAGATTTTGTTTTAAGATTTTAAAGATGTACAATTACAAGTTTTCTGAAAGAAATGCTCTAAGGAAAAAAAGTGAATGAAAGTGTGTATCCCTTTTAGCACTAAGAAAGCTTTTGTTTGTTTTGGTTTGTGTTTACCCTTACACCAGTAAGGCCTGTTTAAAGAAGTACCACACATTTATAGTCAGAAAAGAGATGCCGACTAGCTAAACTTGTCAATATCCAAAGGGAAAGGCAAATCCCTTCCCTGTACACACTTTGCATCTCTATGGACAAGCATTATTTGCATTATTATCAATGTTCTGCAAGTTAACTTCTGTCACTACACAGCTGTAAAGTAACCTAGTCCAAGATGATGGTTTACAATCCCGTAATATCAGCTAATCTTTCCATTGAAAAGATACCCAGTAATCTCCTTTGCCCATTGCAAAGACTGCCCTCAATTTTTTTCCTATAGTAGTTGGTTCAGTTTTACTGCTGATGAGTTGCATATATTCTGGATTCAATGAAGTGCTGAACAAGCACTTCATCCAGTTCTGGGTTGCACAATAACTAGAATTAAATATAATTAAAGTTCTTAAATCTCATCAGGATTTTGCTTTAGCTCATGGCTTTGTGAGTGTGATATTTTGCCTCTGCAGTTAAAATGTTGTAGTTGTTAACAAGAGATCATCTTCATATCAAATGTGTTTAAAATAACATCTATGTTGTGGGCAATTAATTTAGTAACTTCTCATTGAAATATTTATAGATTCTACTGTATCTGATTTTCTTGTGCATAAACTATGGCCAAAGGCCAAATACAACCTAATAGAAAACAAAAATAAAACAAATGTGGATGATAGACATGAAAACAGTTATACAAAGATCTGCTTTTATTTGTCAAAAGATATTCTTAAAGAGGGCACTTTTTGCAGTTATAAAAAGAACATGTCAAAGATTTTGTTTAACTCATTAGTTTATGAGAGAATCAGTAAGATGTTACTGCTGCAATGATTTTGTGTATAATGTAAAACTGGCTTATTCCATGGGATGGGGTAGAGGAACCAGGAAGAAGTTCAATTGTATTCCTGCCAGACAAAATTCATTTGCATGTCTATGGACAATAATCATTTGCCTGCTTTCAATTTTCTACAATTCACAGGGTGGTAAAAGAATTCAAAGAAGGGGCCAGGTGTGGTGGCACGCCTGTAATCCCAGCAGTTTGGGAGGCCAAGGCATGCAGATCACGAGGTCAGGAGATTGAGACCATCCTGGCTAACACGGTGAAACCCCATCTCTACTAAAAATACAAAAAAATTAGCCAGGCGTGGTGGCGGGTGCCTGTAGTCCTAGCTACTCAGGAGGCTGAGGCAGGAGAATGGCTTGAACCCGGAAGGCGGAGCTTGCAGTGAACCGAGATGGCACCACTGCACTCCAGCCTGGGTGACAGAGCGAGACTCCATCTCAAAAAACAAAAACAAAAACAAAAAAAAACTCAAGGTAAAAGGCACAGAAACCTGCAGAATCATATAATCCTCCAGATTGTGTTTAGACAATGCCTAGTTTTACATTGAAGACATCCAGAATCTTGGTTGATTTTAAAGAATAATTTATTTCCTTACACTTTATTACTACTTCTGTTTCTGTTTCATACATCACTGAAGGTTAAAAGGGAAAGCTAAAATATTAATGTTAATGTTTAATTTTTAAGAAGTACTACATTTGAAATGGTAATAATATACTAACTTCACATAAATGCATGTTAGGAAGAAAAATAAATGAAGCATAGAGTCATTTTAATAATTTACAGGTTTCCCAGGACTATCAAGTAAAATGTTAACTTTATAGGAAAATTTCTATTAGTCTAAAGTTTATTATGATATATGTAACTTCTGAAATAGTTTCAATCTTGGCCTAATTTTAAACTTCAGTGCAAAGTTAATTTAATAGGCCTCATGAAGCTAATCTTATTTTTAGCCCATTTATTGGCATGTATCTTTGACATATTATCAGGTAAAAGAAAGCACAGAATACCTCTAGTGATTTTAAATACCTTAACATTTAACTTTACCATCAAAGACAATTCATTTTGTTACCAAATTATTTGACAGGATTAATTTCATAATTACTACTAAGAATCATAAAATAATGTGGATGTGAGTGTAAATATATAAAAATATTGCACATATATAAAGTACAACTCCAGTTCTTTCCTAAGCATTTTTTATCAAATATTAAATAATAGCTTTATTTTATTTTATTTTATCTTTTTGAGACAGTGTCTCACTCTGTCACCCACACTGGAGTACAGTGGTGTGATCTCAGCACACTGCAACCTCCACCTCCCAGGTTCAAGTGATTCTTGTGCCTCAGCCTCCGAAGTGACTGGGACTATAGGCTAGTGCCACCATGCCCAGCTAATTTTTTGTTTTTTAGTAGAAATGTGGTTTCACCATGTTAGCCAGGCTGGTCTTGAACTCCCGACCTCAGGTGATCTGCCCGCCTCAGCATCCCAAACTGCTGGGATTACAGGCATGAGCCACCATGCCCAGCGAATAATAACTTTTAAAAGACAGTATAATTATATCTATAATCATAATTTGTTAATTCAGAAACACACGAATATATGTTAAAGATTTTAACTAATCTATGAAGAAACCAGTAAGATGTTACAATCAGTTCGGAGGATAATTCAAAGTACTACACATACAGGCAGATAAGAAATGCCAAAATGAATTACAGACAGATATGAAATGGTTCAGTAAGCAACTGCACCTCGCCAGGCACTAGTCATTTGTATTTCTATGGGTACAAGTCATTTTGCATTACTATCAGTTTTCTACAATTTACAGGGCTGTAAAATAGCTCAGACAGTGAAAGCAGGGTTTACCTTAATTAATAGGTGCAGTAAGCCAGACATCCAGTGATCGTCCATTTCAAATCCTGTCACACCCCATAAGTATGTGCAATTATGTGTCAACTTTTTCTAAAAAAAACTTTTCACAATCATTCTTGACGTATTTTTTATCAACTCACTTTCTTGATTCTTGTAAAATGTTTTTGTTAGATTCAGTAAAGCAAGTAAGTTTTGCATTTGAAGATTAAACCAAACTGTGTTGTTTTTATCCCATTGTAAAGGCTCCTACTGTATATATTTGATAATTAAATTCTAGTTACTTTAAGCAAATTACCAGAATTTGTTACAGTGATTCTTCAGAAAGAGTAATATTTTTATTCATGTGTTATTTTCGTAATAAATGAAATTTTTAAATTAAAGATAGGTGGTTAATTTTTTTTTCAGTGATACATGAACATGTAAATACCACTCTTCTCTGACTTATTCAGTGATCTGAATCAAATTGTTTTCAAGTGTTTACAGAGCTCATAATTTAGAGTTGTCTCTGACTGATTGTATTTCCTCCAGGTGCTGGATTAAACGATGGGCAGTGGCACTCTGTGTCCTTCTCTGCCAAGTGGAGCCATATGAATGTGGTGGTGGACGATGACACAGCTGTTCAGCCCCTGGTGGCTGTGCTCATTGATTCAGGTGACACCTATTATTTTGGAGGTAAGAGAAGGCAACTGAATGACACTGGCAGTGGAACCACTTTTTATCTTTATTGCTTTGCATTTTGAGTCTCTAGTCAAATTTAAACCAAGTTGATACTAAGAAATAATTTATCTCTAGCCATGAAATTAATACCTTTTGAGTTTATAAAAAACATGAAACATTTAATCAGTTTTTCTTCCCAATACAAAAATAAGTATCTGCAGAAAGTTTACTTGCTGTTTAAATAACTTCATATTTTCATTTAACATTAAAAGAAAAATATATTTGAGCTACATGTAGTAAATAAGTGGAAACTTTCAAACAATATCATAGTCATATCTCTACAACAAATAAATCCATTTATACTTCTAACAGTTAGCTCATAAAAACAAAACAAATCGTACTGTCTGAAGTCATTGGCTTACATAAAATATTACTTATATATTTAAGTCTACATCTAAATCTATACTATTGAATCATTATTAGTACACAGCTCAGTTTATAGATAGATGGATAAATATTTTTTACATGGAGAAGGCGTAATAGGAAATATACTGATTATGAAGTACTTTCAAAACATTGACAATGTAAACAAATATTAATTAATAGGAGACAAACATATTAAATGAATCCAGTATAATTGGTGTTACACTGGTGCAAAGTATTGAATGTTTGCTTCCCCACCCCAGATTCATATGTTGAAATCCTGACCCCAAAGTCATGGTGTCAGGAGGCTTTGGAGGGTAATTAAGTCAGGAGGGTGGAGCCCTAATGAATGGAATTAGTGCCCTTATAAAAGAGGCCCAAGAGAACTCCCTTGCCTTTCCTGCCATGTGAAGTTATAAGGCGAACACTGTGGTCTGTGAAGCAGACACTGCATCTGCTTTGCCTCAAACTCAGACTTAGACTTTCCAGCATCCAGACTGAGAGAAATAACTGTTTGTTGTGTAAGCCACTCTGTTCATGGGATTCTGTTAATAGCAGCCCAAACTGACTATGAGAACTCATACAGCTAAAGAAATGGGAACAAGTGGATCTTTTGATTATAAAGGAAGTTTGGATTTTTTTAAATTAAAAGAACCACTAGGAATAACAGCAAAACCCTGCTATGTATTCTAGAATGCTCCTGTGAATCCAAAGATTAAGCTTTTATATCTGGAAACCACAGTTAAGAGAAACAATCATGTGAGAAAACTTATCACTTGGGGGCATGGATGCCTGTACATTACAACATTCTGTTATCATCCCATATCACCACATATATGATAAGAAAACTCACTCTCGAGTAAGAAAGTTTTCAACTAGGTATGAAATTCCATGCTGGACACAGATACAGAGAGCCACTTGCACTGTACCTAAACACTGAAGTGTTACTGAGGTAACTTAATTACTTGTAATTCTTACTGGAAAGGTAAATATATTCAGCCTTTCTTAGTAATAAAAATTGTATGTAAACAGAAGTATAGATCTAGTAATAGAGACTTGTTATATACATGCAGTCCTGTACATTGCATTTTACCTCATCAGTATTTGTGGTATTTCGCAAAGAATATATACTTTTCCAAATATACAGCCACAGACATTCAAAGACTTCACTGAGCTGTCCTCTGGCACACAGGTGTATTTAAATTGTTAAAGAAAATTAAAATGGCCTGAGGTATCTCTGACCAGACAAAGCCTTTTAAGTGGCGTTAACTTTGCTTGATTTACCAATATAAGCAAAACTTGAGCTATTTCTTGTAAATGTCTTTAAAAATAAAAAAAGTCAAACTTAAGGCTAACCAATCAGAAGCCAATTAACTTATATAACTAGAGACTTTCCAGCAGGATCAACCAAATAAGGCAATTGTATAAGTACAACCAGTGAAAAATTTGCTACTATATTTACCTTACAGAAGCTGTCCCTTTTTGTTCCCTTGAAAGGGTCCCTGAACCAGTTCCCATTTGAAGCTGCTTCAACAGTGATTCATGAATCACTGTTAGCTCAAATAAACTTTTGTGCCTCCATTTACCTTTTATTAATGGATACATTTATATCTGTAGTTGGATGCTTTTTTCCTCTAAGCAGACACAAAGTAAAACTGAAGAGCTTAAGATTTTTATTTATTTATTTATTTTTATTTTTTGAGGCGGAGTCTCGCTGTGTCCCCCAGCCTGGAGTGCAGTGGCGCGATCTCGGCTCACTGCAAGCTCTGCCCCCCCGGTTCACGCCATTCTCCTGCCTCAGCCTCCTGAGTAGCTGGGACTACAGGCACCCACCATCACATCTAGCTAATTTTTTGTATTTTTAGTAGAGACGGGGTTTTCACCATGTTTGCCAGGATGGTCTCGATCTCCTGACCTTGTGATTTGACTGCCTCGGCCTCCCAAAGTTCTGGGATTACAGACATGAGCCACTGTGCCAGGCCAAGATTTTTAAAATTAGTTAATGCCTTCGTGTATCTTGAGTGGATGATAACATAGGAGTCCTCAGAAAAATGCAGACATGCCCGCCAACCTTTTCAGAAGAGCGAAGTTGGCTTAAGGAATCATCATCGGTCCAAGATTGTTAGTGATCTGAGAAATTTCATGTGCTGAGGATGATGCCAAATTAAGGGTTTCCAAGTATGAGTACCAGGATACCTCCTATACCTGCTGTCAGCCATATGTGGTATCGACAATTGCCTCTAACAAAATTTTTCCAAACCAAGTAGAAAAAAACAGTAAACAGAACAGAGATTTTTTTTTTATTAGGATGGGACTGAAATCTGTCCCTCCTTCAGGATGAGGGCTGTAATCTGTGTGACAGAAACAGATGACAGAGTTTGATCCACACTACTTTGTTTTCAGAGCTGCTAGCCCAGATGGAATAGGTCCAGAAAGAAACTAATGAAATAAGCAATAGAAAATCTCAAACATTATAGTCTTTGACAATGTATATTCATATATAATTCCCATTTCCTTCAGAAAATACGTGTTGCTTCTCTTTTTTTTTTAAACTTATTTTAGGTTCAGAGGTATACATGTGCAGGTTTGTTATATAGGTAAATTGCATGTAATGGGGGCTTGGGGTACAGATTATTCCATCACCCAGGTAATGAGCATAGTACCTAGTAGGTAGTTTTTCGATCTTCACCCTCCTCCTACCCTCCATCCTCAAGTAGGCTGTGGTGTCTATTGTTCCCTTCTTTGTGTCCATGGGTACTCAATACTAAGCTCCCACTCCTAAGTCAGAATACATGGTATTTGGTTTTCTGTTCCTGTGTTAGTTCACTTTGGATAATGGCCTCCAGCTCCATCCATGTTGCTAGAAATGACATTATCTCATCTTTTTTTATGACTACATAGTATTCCATGGTATATATGTACATTTTCTTTACGCTACTGTTGATGGGTATTTAGGTTGATTCTATGTCATTGCTATTGTGAATGAACATGCACGTCTGTGTGTCTTTATGGTAGAAGGATTATTATTCCTTTGGGTGTGTACTCAATGGGGTTGCTGGGTTGAGTGGCAGCTCTGCTTTAAGTTCTTTGAGAAATCACGAAACTGCTTGCTGCAATGGCTGAACTAATGTATAATTCCCCCAGCAGTGTATAAGCACTCCCTTTTCTCCACAGCTTTACCAGCACCTGTTATTTTTCGCCTTTTAAATAATAGCAATTCTGACTGGCGTGAGATGGTATCTCATTGTGGTTTCGATTTGCATTTATCTCATGACTAGTGATGCCGAGGAGTTTTTCATATGCTTGTTGGCCACATGTATGTCTTCTTTTGAAAAGTGTCTGTTCATGTCCTTTGCCCGTTTTTTAATGGGGTACGTTTTTTTTCTTTCTTGTTAAGTTCCTTATAGATTCCAGACATTAGACCTTTGTCAGATGCATAATTTGTGAATATTTTCTTCCAGTAGGTTGTCTGTTTACTCTGTGGATAGTTTCTTTTGCTGTGCAGAAACCCTTTAGTTTAATTAGGTCCCATTTGTCAACTTTTGTTTTTGTTGCAATGTTTTCGGTGTCGTTGTCATGAAATTTTTGCCATGTCCTGTGTCCAAAATGGCATTTCCTATATTTCCTAGGTTATCTTCCAGGATTTTTGTAGTTATAGGCTTTACTTTTTTTTTTTTTTTTGAGACTTTAGAGTCAGTCTCACCTGTTGCCCAGGCTGGAGTGCAATGACACGATACAGCCTCAACCTCCCAGGCTTTAAGAGGTTCCCCCACCTCAGCCTCCTGATTAGCCTGGACTACAGGCACGTGCCACCACATCCAGCTAATTTATTATTATTATTATTATTATTATTGTTTGTAGAGACGAGGTCTCGCTATGTTGCCCAGGCTTGTCTCAAACTCCAAGGCTCAAGCTATCCTCCCACCTCACCCTCCCAAAGTGTTGGGATTATAGGCGTGAGCCACTGCACCTGACACGTTTTACATTTTATTCTTTAATCCATCTTGAGTTGATTTTTGTATATGGTGTAAGGAAGGGGTCTAGGAACTGCTTATGGTTAGCCAGTTATCCCAGCACCATTTATTGAATAGGGAGTCCTTTCCCTACTGCATGTTTTTGTCGACTTTGTTGAAGATCAAATGGTTTTAAGTGTGTGACATTATTTCTGGGCGCTCTATTCTGTTCCATTGGTCTGTGTGTCTGTTTTTGTACCAGTACTATGCTATTTTGGTTACTATAGCCTTGTAGTAGAGGTTGAAGTTGGCTAACGAAATGCCTCCAGATTTGTTCTTTTTGCCTTGGATTCCCTTGGCTATTCAGGCTCTTTTTTGGTTCTATATTAATTTTAAAATAGTTTTTACTGGTTCTTTGAAGAATGCCATTGGTGATTTGATAGGAATAGCATTGAATCTATAAATTGCTTTGGGCAGTATGGTCCAATATGGTTAAAAACCATATTTATTATTCCTATCCGTGATTATGGAATGTTTTTCCATTTGTATGTCATCTATGATTTCTTTGAGCAGTGTTTTGTAATTCTTCTTGTAGAGATCATTCACCTCCCTGGTTAGCTGTATTCCTAGGTAGTTTATTCTTTTTGTGGTCATTGCGAATAGGATTGCATTCTTGATTTGGCTCTCAGCCTGCATGTTGTTGGTATATAGGAATGCTACTAATTTTTGTACATTAATTTTGTATCCTGAAACTTTGCTGAGATTATCAGATCGAGAAGCTTTTGGGCAGAGACGATGGGGTTTTGTAGGTACAGAATCATATCATCTGCAAACAGAGACAGTTTGACCTCTTTTTCTCCTATTTAGATGCCTTTTATTTCTCTCTCTTGCCTGATTGCTCGGGCGAGGACATCCAGTACTATGTTGGGTAGGAATAATGAGAGAGGGTATCCCTGTCTTGTCCCAGTTTTCAAGGGGAATGCTTCACATCTTTTGCCCATTCAGTATGATGCTGGCTGTGGGTTTGTCATAGGTGGCTCTTACTATGTTGAAGTATGTCCTCCAATGCCTCATTTGTTGAGGGTTTTTAACATGAAGGGATGTTGAGAAAATACCTGATGCTTCTCTAGAGACAAATATATGAAAGCAAACAACATTTCATGAAGGAATGAGGAATATTTTGTGGCAGCAAGAATGAGAATGACTCTCCAAGATGCCCTGGAAACTGAATATGTTACATCACATAAGGGATTTTGCAGATGTAATTAAGGTTGCAGACCTTAGGAGACGATCGTGATTCATGCAGTGGGCTCCATGTAATCACATGAGCACTTAAGAGATTTAACTCTGGTTGGAGGCAGAAGAGACACAGAAGAGAGGTGTGGGTGAGGGGAAGCCAGAGAAACTAGAAGCAGGAGAATGTCTCTCTGCACCATTGCTGGTTTAGAAAATGAACTGGGCACTATGAAGAGCAATGCAGGCAGCCTGACATTGCTGAGAGGCCCCAACTACCAGCCAGTGATGAATTGGGACCTCACTCCTACAACTACAAGAAGTTGAATTCTGCTCTAACCTGTATGTGCTTGGACACACATTCTGCCCTAGGGCCTTCATAAGGAGCCCAAGAGCACCTTGATTTTGTCCTTGTAAGACTATAAGCAGAGTCATCAGTCCAGCCCTCCCACACTTCTAAAGTGAGAGATAATAAAGAGAATATTTTAGTGATTTGTTACAGTGATGATTAAAAGCTGATACACATTCCAACCTCCATCAGATCCATTTACAGACATTCCCATTCAGTTCTAAACCCTTGGACAATGGCCAAAAAAAAAAAAAGCTTTCCTCAAACACACCCTGAGAATATACTGAAAAAGATTACATATATATATATATATATATATATATATATATATATATATATATATATATATATATCTATCTATCTATCTATCTCCAGGCGTGGTGGCCCACGCCTGTAATCCCAGCACTCTGGGAGGCTGAGGCCGGCGGATCACCTGAGATCAGGAGTTGAAGACGAGCCTGGCTAACATGGTGAAACCCTGTATCTACAAAAATACACACACAAAAAAAATTTAGCCGGGCATGATGGCAGGTGCCTGTAATCCCAGCTACTTGGGAGGCTGAGGCAGGATAATCACTGGAAAAAAAAATATATATATATATAAAATGTTTTTTAAAAATATATATATATATAATATTTTTAAAATATATATATATGACCAAAGAGAATAGTTTCAACAGAAAGTCAAAATAGCCAACACAGTTTCTGTGTTTTATTTTGTTTGGATTGTGTATGGCCTTCGAGTGAAGTAACATACATGATAATGAACCATATAGGGACACAGTGACAGAAATGGGAAGGCTGATCCATGATCATATATGCATACATAGGTACACTATGGATTCCAAAGTCCCCTTTGACCTGAAAGTGTGAGAAGAGCCCATAACCCATTTGAAACAGATATGCAGCAACCACAACCCAAATTGTATATGCATAAGTAAAGTTGTCCTTATTTCAGAGATGATATTATGGATTGAATTGTTTTCCCTCAAATTCATATGAACTCCAGAATGTGACCTTGTTTGGAGATAAGATCTTTGCAGAGGTAATCAAGTTAAAATGAGGTCATTAAGGTGAGCTCCAATCCAATATGACCAGTGTCCTTATGAAAAATGGAAATGGAGGTGCAGAGACACACAGAGAGGGAAGACGCTGGGACAACATGCAGGAACAACGCCTCAGGAAGACAGAGGCCTAAAGTGTTACACCTGCAAGGCCAGAGCTGTTTACTGGGTTCCTCCCTGACGCCACCTCCCACCTGGGGCTGAACCTGACCCAGACCTTACCACCCACTGCTGCTACACTGCCATAAATCCCTTTTTTAAAAAAATTAAAATATTTATTTGACAAATAAAAATTCTGTATATTTAAGGTATACTATGTGACGATTTGATATAGGTATTCACTGCGTTCTGATTACCACAGTCAAGTTGATTAACACATCCATCACATCACACATAGTTACCATGTTGATGGCAGAGGGGAGTGAAGTCATTACAAATCTGCTCTCTTACCAAATTCCAGGTAAATAACACAGTATCATTATGTATCACCATGCTGGATCATCATGCTGGATCCCTTTTGTTTCATGGGGTTGTATCACCATGAAACAGTATCACCATGCTGGATCCCTTTTGTTTCATGGGGTTGTTGAAAAAAGACTACAAATTAAGGACTGAAATGCATGTCTTCCAGATAGGCCTAAATAAAAGATCACACTCAGGAACCGATTTTAAATAGACCACCCTTTATGGAGCTTCCCTTCATCATTCTGCCCAACGGAATTGTAACAGTGCGAAATGAGTGCCGTTACCTTTTCCACTGCTTTATGTGCTGGTTTTATTGCACCATACAGGTATCCCCAGAGACTCGGCTCCTCTGGAGCATCTTATTGATTTCCCACTGCGGCATGAAGAAAGGCCATGCTTTGCCCAAAGTGCCTAATAGTTTTACTCAGTCGGTTATTTCAACTTATTTTTATTGCCCAGTAATGATGCAGTGAAACATTTTACCAAGTCA
This sequence comes from Homo sapiens, assembly GCF_000001405.40. Taxonomy (NCBI): domain Eukaryota; kingdom Metazoa; phylum Chordata; class Mammalia; order Primates; family Hominidae; genus Homo; species Homo sapiens. The sequence goes on from NC_000009.12 coordinate 61,460,993, forward strand.
GGGAGCGCATCAGCCTTTCCTAGACAATAATAAACAGAATATTTGCCAGCTCAGTCAATGATTGAGTACAGCCAAGAGACACTGCAGCCTAAGAGAGGGCAGTCAGAGTGGGGAGGTCACAGAAGGGTGCAATAAATCTTCTCCCCAGGGATGTTTACTCAGAAAGTCCTTGGTCATTAGAAATGTCATTTAACTCTGTAAATAATAAGATACATTTGCTAATCAATGCTTGAGGTGCTTCTTGAGAGTATTAGTATAGTTTTGCATTTTACTATTTTTTTTTCCAGAATCCTTTTAAAATTATGTTGGAGACAGCACAATATGAAAGTAAAATTCGGCCAGGCACAGTGGCTCACGCCTGTAATCCCAGCACTTTGGGAGGCCTAGGCGGGTGGATCACAAGGTCAAGAGATTGAGACCATCGTGGCTAACATGGTGAAACCCCGTCTCTACTAAAAATACAAAAAAAAAAAATTAGCTGGGCATGGTGGTGGGCGCCTGTAGTCCCAGCTTCTCAGGAGGCTGAGGCAAGAGAATGGCATGAACCTGGGAGGCAGAGCTTATACAGTGAGCTGAGACTGCGCCACTGCACTCCAGCCTGGGTGACAAAGTGAGACTCCGTCTCAAAAAAAAAAGTAAAATTCATCCCTAAAATTGGCTGTCAGCATGGAAATTATAAAACTCATTTTCTAAACTCTAACAGTCCTTCAGAGCAAACTTTCCACAGAGCAACTGTGAAAACAGACAATGTCAATCTGCAAAGTTTCTGATTGTTTTCTTTCCTCATATTCCGAGGTGTGCATATGTGCCTCAAATTGTATTAAAACATTTGCTATAGATGACAGATTTTATAACAAAAAACAAGCCAATATATCCAAGACCTATCATTTCAAAAGTAAAATATTTAGGAAGCACTAAAAGGGATAAGAATGAAAGTACTATTCATTTTTTTAAGTGATACTAAATAAAGTTGATTACAGAAAATGATTTGTCAAAGTATAAATATAGTATCACCTTTAGGGTTTAAATTCTACAGGTGAGATTTTATAACGTCCTGTTATTCAAGAGCCCATTTCCATAAATATATACATGCTAATGTGAGAAATGTTTTTGTGTTATTTTTATGCATATCATAATTTTATTCATTTTTACTGTGAAATAGATCATATATGTACAGTTAAAAATATTGCTAATTTTTCAAAAGAATGTATATATTGTTACATGAATATACCACATTTTATCAGTTCTACTGTCCCATTTTGCTATTGTTAGGCAATTTTCATTTTTGCTTTTAGATTTGCTTTATAAAATTTAGGGGGGTGGTGTTTCGTTGTTTTGCTTTTTTTTAGACAGGGAGTCACTCTGTTGCCCAGGCTGGAGTGCAATGAAGCAATCACAGCTCACTGCAGCTTCTGCCTCTCCAAGCTCAAGCACTTCTTCCACCTCAGCCTCTGGAGTAGCTGGGACTGCAGGCCTGCACCACCACACCCAGCTAATTTTTGTTGTTGTTGTTTTTCTTCGTATTTTGTAGAGACAGAGTTTTGCCATGTTGTTCAGGTTGGTCTGAGGTGATCCACCCACCTCAGCCTCCCAAAGTGCCAGGATTACAGGCATGAGCCACCATGCCCAGCCTAAAATTTAGTTTTTAAAATATTCTTAACATACCTAGTTTTTCCAGTGAATTTTGCATTCCTTGTGTGTGTTTTTGTAACTTTATTTACCCATCTGTATAGTAAACTTCGGGAAACACCAGCTCTAACCACCATGTTTAACAGCATAAGCTGGTTGTTAAATTTTACTGATGTATGTAAACCCAAAATAGATCATTTCTTCACATAGAAACAGCCTTTGGTTCCGCTAGTATTCATTACTCGTTTTAGTAATTTAAAGACCACATGACCCAAATTCTTCTTGAATGCTGTGCAGTGCACTGAAAGAGACTAATAAGCCCTTTTCTGTTTTCTAAGCAAATTTACTTCTTGGGATATTTCTGTTCATATGGTTTCCTATGACACATAGCATCACTAAGAGTCAAATAAGTGAAACTGAAAACATTAAAATTAATCCTGTAATCCAGTTTTAATAATGAGTTTGTTTCATTATGTTTCTTTTTCCTTTCCATTTGTTTTATACTGGCCTGAAGAAAACAGGCTTGATGGATAAAATCCACAGTATTTTCTTCCTAACTAGCTTATATATTTAGAATGGCCTGAATATGTACAGCTGCAGACACTAACTTCATTCCTACAGTATAATATCTACCAATGATTGAAACTAGTCAGCTGCACATTTTATTTATTTATTAAAAAGGATTTGGATTTTTATACAATATTTAAAAACCACAAAATGAAAAGGGATCAATCAACGTATACCTTGGAGGTCCTTCCAAGAGTCTCAGTATCTAACAGCCATGGAGGCTGTGAGCTTTTTCCTTCTTTTCTCAGCCTGCTGGTCATTTAAGGGTCACCAGAGATGACTCATGCTCTAGTTCTTAAAATCAAACTTGTTCCACCAAATCCAAGATGCTGAATTTGTACAAATGTAAAAACATCCTCTTGCCACCTGTCCACCAAAATACCTTCTATTCAAGTGAACAACAGCTTTAATTGCTGACTCAACTCTCAAATTCTAAAAAGGTCTGTACTGCTTCATCATCAGGGACACCAAGAATTTCACATATCACACGTTTTCCAACTTTGCCATATTTTTCATGGCAAAATTGGGAAATACCATGGACTTTATCCATCAAGCCTGTTTTCTCTGAGCCAATATAAATTGACAATGGAAAAGAAAAAGAAACATAATAGAATGAACTCATTATGAAAACTAGATTAACTATACTCTTTTCAGTTTCACTTATTTTATCCTTAATGATGCTATGTCTCATAGGAAACCATATCAACTGAAAAATATGTCATCACACATTCTTCTCTGGTTTCAACTTCCAAGTCTTCTTCCACCTCCCCTTCGCCAACCATGTTCCTTAGTAGGACCACCTTAGTAGGACTCAAGTATTTCAGTCAGTGGATTTGTACCTGATCCTTCAATGCATCTTTCTCTGCGGTGTCGCCCACGATGATCTTGCCGCCTGATCTGCTAGTCTTCCCCACCGGAAAGGCATCTCGCGGCCCCTGCAGGTGCTCCCCGAGGCCCCGGCCTTCCCGGAAGCCGCGCTTCTGCATGATGTTGTGCGCCACCGTTCCCACCACGTTAGCGAGGAAGGAGCTGCTAGGCCGGTTTGGAGATCTCAGTCTGTCCTGTTCCTCCTTCACTGGGGGAGGAATGGCTGCTTTGGAAGACCATGACTGAGGTCTTGAATCCTCTTCATAAGGAAAATCTCGGGGTGACTCTTGGTCTTTCTCTACCAGAGAAGTGGGAAGGGCAATGGCAGCTCCACCCTACTACTTTTCCTCCTCTCTCCCTCCTAATCTTCCCCTTCATCAGAATCTGGATTTGGTCGCCTTGATCAGAACTCCCCTAACTTCTTGCCTGTCTTCAGGCCTCTTTTCCCTTTCTTCTATTTCCTTTCATATTTCTAGCTCCTGCTGTGTCTGTCGTTCCTCTCTCTGGCACTTCACTACTTTCTCATAATCATAAGGGAACATAGGATCATATTCGTCAGCTAAGGGAATCAGAATGTCCCCTGCAAAAATCCACTGGGAGCAGGATCCTTCAGCCCAGCTGCTGCATGCCGTGGTGTGTCCCCAATTTGCAGGTCATCTGAGGAGCCGCCTGGCCTTAGGTCAATGACTGGCAAGAGCTGCACTGTTTCTAACTTTGGCTCTTTCCCTGAGTGAGAGCTGCCTTCCTCACCTGAAGCTGAGACTGCAGAAGTTTGATGTTTTGGAACCAGCCTTCTGCTTTTGAGTCACTGGTCTCCACTCTCAGGCCATCGTATGGGGGCATCTTTTTTTTTTTTCTATTTAATGTTGCCCTGCTGACTCTACCCATGGGTAGCCAGGTTAATATGAAGAAATGAAGAAGAAGAAAAACCCACCAATTTCCTGATGCCAGATAAATGGAAAATGTTATTTGCACCAAAGAAACCTTGAGAGACTTGGAACAATCACTGGTGGTTGTGGATTTCTGGATCTCCTAGATTTATTTTAATAGAAAGTTTAGGCCAGACGCGGTGGCTCTCACCTGTAATCCCAGCACTTTGAGAGGCTGAGGCGGGTGGATCATCTGAGGTTAGTAATTCAAGACCAGCCTGGCCAACATGGTGCAACCTTGTCTCTACTAAAAATACAAAGATTAGCTGGGCATGGTGGCGGGAGCCTGTAGTCCCAGCTACTGGGTAGGCTGAGGCAGGAGAATTGCTTGAACCTGGAAGGCAAAGGTTGCAGTGAACCGAGATGGTGCCACTGCACTCCAGCCTGGCAACAGAGTGAGACTCTGTCAAGAAAGAGAGAGAGAGAGAAAGAAAGAGAAAGTCTAATTCGCAGATGCAGACTTACCTTCTGTACTGTCATTTGTCCATTCTTTTTTTTCTGGTCTGTGATTTCATCTTTTTGAAGTGTTTTTCAAGCAGCACTCTGTACGGTTGCAGGTTGTGCATATAGCCTGCATTTTTTTGCATTCATGCCTGAAATAGAGATTGACTGAAGGTCAAATTCTTTTAAACTTACCTTTATGGAATCTTTCTGCTATTCAATGCCATGCCTCCTTCCATGATATTGAGAATACAAAATTGACTGTTGTGTCGCCAGTCCTCACATCCTTCTTGTAGGAAGCTGCTAGACTGAGAACTTGTGGCAACATTGCATTGAAGTCTGTCACTGCAATAACACACAGTGACAATTTTCTTGCCAACCTCATATGCTTACACAAGTTAAAATAACCGGGCTAAAATTTTCATGGGTCTTAATATCTTTATTTGTTTGATTTCATATCCATGCAGTACTTTATGATTAGAATTTGTCCTGAAAGTTTCATAACTTTTTGCGGGACACCTGGATTTTAGTTTTTTTTTCTAACAGAGTTATTGAATTCATTTTCTTTTAAGAATAACCTGGCTGGGCGCTGTGGCTTACACCTGTAATCCCAGCACTTTGGGAGGCCGAGGCAGGTGGATCACGAGGTCAGGAGATCAAGACCATCCTGGCTAATATGGTGAAACCCCGTCTCTACTGAAAAAAAATACAAAAAAAAAAAATTAGCAGGGTGTGGTGGCGCGTGCCTGTAGTCCCAGCCACTCGGGAGGCTGAGGCAGGAGAATGCTGTGAACCTGGGTGGTGGAGCTTGCAGTGAGCAGAGATCACACCACTGCACTGCAGCCTAGGCAACAGCACGAGACTCAGGTCTCAAAAAAAAAAGATAACCTAAGTTATGTGTCAGGAAACACCACATGGTGAAAGAAAGATTAGCAGAACTGTTGATATTCCTATAATTCATTACTGGAAAATATTTATTGAATTAATAATCCTCTTAATTCTTAACTTAATGTGTTTATTTCTTAATGATTAGTGAGATGCAGTAGAATTATACAAAGTTCACTCTCTATCCCATTCTTCAGAAGGTTCTGCTGTACCATTTAAACTTATATTTCTTTTGTAAATATAAAAATATAAAAGATTTTAGTCTTCAAACTTTTAAACAAATATGGTGTTAAATGTTAAACTTCCAAGTGTCTGTGAGGTTATGTATAGTTTCGATAAGCTAAAAAGAAGCCTTAAATATGAGGGAGGCTTTTACTTTAGAAATCTAAAGCAGAAAATATTAAAGTTAAAGAGATAAAGCTTCAGTTATTAAAATAGAAATCTAAACACAACATTTAATTTTTATGGAACTTTCAGGGAGGAAATAAGAGTACAGGCATTGAGGGGTGCTTCATTTATTCCAGTAAGAGGAATCTTCATTGACTATTTTTTGAAATTGTGCTAGTGATTAACAGTATAAGGTCAAAGAGAGGTCAATGAAAAACACATAAGTACAAATTCTATACTTCATTTTTTTCATTTTAATGAACACTGTAAAGAAAACTCAATCCTCTAGTGATAAATATTGATGTATATTTACTATAATCTTTGGAGAAAAGGGTATTTGCGTGGACTCAGTGTCATGCCAATATTAGGTTTAATACCTAATATTTGAATGATTGGGAAAAGAAAGTAAGAAATTATATCTCACAAGTTTGAAAGAGACAATACTTACAGAATCAATATAAGCAGGCTTCTTTTTTAAAATAAGGCAAAGGATAAAATTTTTAAAAGCTATATAATTTCATAATATACAATTTAATTATTCAATTTCTCTTGTCATTGGCATTACACCATTATGAAATGAGGTGCCTCTTTCATATTTGTATGTTAAAATTAAGTATTCATTTAGATCAGAGGTAGACAAATCACGGTCTATGGCATATTATATAAGCCGAAATGAATAATTGCTTTGTATTTTTATTTATTTATTTTTTTTTATTTGAGAAGAAGTCTCGCTCTGTTGCCCAGGCTGGAGTGCAGTGGCGCCATCTCGGCTCACTGCAAGCTCCGCCTGCTGGGTTCACGCCATTCTCCTGCCTCAGTTTCCCGAGTAACTGGGACTACAGGCACCCACCACCACGCCCAGCTAATTTTTTTTTGTATTTTTAGTAGAGACGGGGTTTCACCGAATTAGCCAGGATGGTCTCGATCTCCTGACATCATGATCCGCCCGCCTTGGCCTCCCAAAGTGCTGGGTTTACAGGCATGAGCCACCGCGCCCAGCCCTGCTTTGTATTTTTAAAGGGTTATAACAAGAAGGACATGCAACAGAAACCAGGTGTGACCCACAAAACCAAAAGTGTTTACTATCTGCGTTTTACAGAAAACCTTTGCAGACTCCTGACTTAGACAAATGCCTTATGATTTTATTCTGAATTAATATGACTCTTTCTACAAACAGTTGTCTTTAAATAAAAAGATTTTACAGTTATTGTGTTTTCTTTAACTAGAGTGTGTACTTTCATCCTTTTCCTTACTTTTCAAACTTAGAGTTCCATTATTAGGTTATATATTGTAACTCAAGAGGGTGGGAGTAAGTTCAAGACACTACTTTCCTATATGCTTGGACTGGTGTGGAGTAATACTGCTTACGTCAAAGTCAGGCACTCACCACTGCTTCTTATAAGTACTGTTCTTGTTTCACAAAACAAGCCCACATAGTAAAGGGAAGTGATGTCATAAGCATTGCCATTTGTAATTTAGGTGAAATTAGCTGACGGTTGTAGTGAAACTTTTAATATTTAACTTCTAATATTGGAAATAATCAAATGTCTATTTTATCTCTTTCTATTCATAGAACATTCTGGACTGCAAATTTTTATCCTTATGTACCCTAACAGTGTGTTAGGTCCTGTTACTTTTTGTGTTGTTGTTAACATTAGAATTTAATCTTTAGTTATATATTTGACTAAAGTACCTAATACCAAAGAAAGTGTTACTAGAAAAGCAAATCTAGGTATTTCCACCCAGTCAGTATAAAAAAATACGTTTTTAAATACTCCCAAATATACATACATCGCAACACACAAAAACACCTATAGGGTAGATATTTAACATATTTTAGATAAATGGTAGTACACAATTATATTTTCAGGTAGCATTTTTCACATTTCACAGCATATCCTAAATAAAATTTGGCCTATGATTTCATTTATTTTAATTTAACCTCCACTTTAATTTTTTTCACTTACACTACATAATGCTAAAATGCATGATTATTTCTTAGATGAGATTTCACAAAAGAAGCCAAACCTCTTTTCACTTGGTTGGGAAATAATTCCTGTTATAGGAATTTTAGATCTGAATTTTCCCCCATAATTTCTTATTCTGAATTC